>NW_025791777.1:860094-1015280 GCF_000001405.40 Homo sapiens
AGGAGTTCGAGACCAGCCTGACCAACATGGTGAAACCCCGTCTCTACTTAAAATACAGAATTAGCTGGGCGTGGTGGCTCATGCCTGTAATCCCAGCACTTTGGGAGGCCAAGGTGGGTAGATTGCCTGAGGTCAGTTCGAGACCAGCCTGACCAATATGGTGAAACCTCATCTCTACTAAAAATACAAAAATTAGCTGGGCATGGTGGTATGCTCCTGTAGTCCCAGCTACTCAGGAGGCTGAGGTGGGAGAATTGTTTGAATTCGGGAGGTGGATGTTGCAGTGAGCTGAGATCGCGCCACTGCACTCCAGCCGGGCGACAGAGCGACACTCCGTCTCAAAAAAACAAAAACATACAATTTTAAAAATTTAGTCTTAGCTTTTCAATAAGAGGGATTAAAATATATTATTTTAGTCTGCTCAGCATCCATTCTCCCTTCCTTTTGGCAAAGAACCCTAAATTTTTTGGGGGATGATATAGTTTGGCTGTGTCCCCAACCCAAATCTCATCCTGAATTGTAGCTCCTATAATTCCCATGTGTCATGGGAGGGACCTGGTGGGAGGTAATTGAATCATGGGGGTGGTTACCTTCATGCTGTTCTCATGATAGTGAGTGAGTTCTCAGGAGATCTGATGGTTTCATAAGGGGCTTTTCCCCTTTTGCTTTGCACTTCTCCTTCCTGCCATCATGTGAAGAAGGATGTATTTGCTTCCCCTTCTGCCATGATTGTAAGCTTCCTGAGGCCTCCCCAGCCATACACAACTGTGAGTCAATTAAACCTCTTTCCTTTATAAATTATCCAGTCTCGAGTATGTCTTTATTATCAGCATGAGAACGGACTAATACAGGGGACCACCTACTCCTTACTAGAGTTGGTTTTACCATCAACTTGCCCTCCTCTTGCTGAGGGATGGGTACCTAACCCATGTAACTTCAGTTGGAGGCACTCCAAGTGACATAAAAACTAAATATACATGTCAGAAGTTCAACCTGATATCAGCACCGTAAGAAAAAAAAACAAAAACAAACACCTCATAACACCTACTCTTAAGATACCTGAAACTGTTACAATTCTTGACCTTTCCAAAGCCTTGAGTCCTCAACTTTTCCATGACTCTGGAGTCTCTCATTCTTTCAAATAAGATTTTTATCAGTAAGTTCATTAATCTGATCCTGTTGCTTGCAACCAAAAATTCCAATATATCATGAAATCAGGTTAGATGTGGTTATATTACTTCAAGTATATACTAACCCATTTCCCGTTTGCCCCAAGAATACTCTTGCCTCTAATCCTAATGTAACATTATATACATTTCCATTATATTAGGATTAGAGACAAGTTCTGTTTAGAAATAACTCTAAGAACAGTTTGTGTATTTTCACATTGAAAATTAATTTGCGTCAACCTCAGAGTGTGTTTATGTAAAATTAAATGAGCGCTGGCAGCCAGCTGCACTTTTTTTTTCTTTTTTTCTTTTTTTTTTTTTTGAGACGGAGTCTCACTCTGTCGCCCAGGCTGGAGTGCATGGAGTGCAGTGGCATGATCTCGGCTCACTGCAAGCTCCGCCTCTCGGGTCTATGCCTTTCTCCTGCCTCAGCCTCCCGAGTAGCTGGGACTACAGGCGCCTGCCACCATGCCCGGCTAATGTTTTGTATTTTTAGTAGAGACGGGGTTTCACCATGTTAGCCAGGACGGTCTCGATCTCCTGACCTCGTGATCCACCCACCTCGGCCTCCCAAAGTGCTAGGATTACAGGCGTGAGCCACGGCGCCTGGCCACTTTTATTTTCTAAACAGGAAATGGGTTAAATACGTAACTCTGTATGAAATATCCATTCATAAGCTACCCTAACAGCCCCCTTGAGTGGTATAAGGCTACAGTCTTTGACCAAAAAAAAAAGTATTTGACAAAAACTTATGTCATGTGATATATGTTCATAAAAGGCAAGTATTTAATAGGATTATGTCAATTATAGCCAGGCTGGTAGGTAAATTTCTTTTAAATACCAAGGCTCAGCCAGACTGCTGCAAGGAAGTGTTCCAGAACTTATGTACCAGCAAGCAGTCTTGTCCAAGTGGTAAAACAGCAAGAGTAGTATGTGGAATGGAAATTCGGTTTGTATGTTTTTTTTTTTGTTTTTTTTTTGAGACAGAGTCTTGTTCTGTTGCTCAGGCTAGAGTGCAGTGGTGCAGTCTCGGCTCACTGCAACCTTTGCCTCCCAGAGTCAAGAAATTCTCTTGCCTCAGCCTCCCAAGTAGTTGGGATTACAGGCGCCCACCACCACGCTTGGCTAATTTTTGTATTTTTAGTAGAGACGGGGTTTCACCATGTTGGCCAGGCTGGTCTTGAACTCCTGACCTCAGGTGATCTGCCCACCTCAGCCTCAGCCTCCCAAAGTGCTGGATTATAGGCATGAGCCACCATGCCCGGCCTTGTTTTTTATTTATTTATTTCTTTGAGATGAAGTCTTGCTCTGTCACCCAGACTGGAGTGCAGTGGTGCAATCTCGGCTCACTGAAATCTCCACCTCCCGGGTTCAAGCGATTCTCCTGCCTCAGCCTCCCAAGTAGCTGGTATTACAGGCACACACCACCATACCTGGCTAATTTTTGTATTTTTAGTAGAGACGGGTTTCACCATATTGGCCAGGCTGGTCTTGAACTCCCGACCTCGTGATCCGCCCGCCTTGGCCTCCCAAAGTGCTAGGATTACAGGCACCTTTTTAAAATTATTATATTGAGACAGGGTGTCACTTTGTCACCCTGGCTGGAGTGCAGTGGCATGACCTTGGCTCACTGCATCCTCAACTTCCCAGACTCAAACCATCCTTCCACCTCAGTCCCCCAAGTAGCTGGGACTACAGGTGTGCACCACCACATCTGGCTAATTTTTGTGCTTTTTGAGGAGATGGGGTTTTGTCATGTTGCCCAGGCTGGTCTCAAACTCCTGGCCTCAAGCGATCCTCCCACCTCAGCCTCCCAAAGTGCTGAGATTACAAATGTGAGCTACTGCACCTGGCCGTGTATTTCTACAAAAGTTATGTTATAATCAAATTTGAAAATCTCAACTTTTCCAAGCAAATGATCCAATAGCAGGCTATTTATAAACTTTTAATGTGCATTAGTTACTGCTATGTAAAAGTTTTTTTGTTTTTAAGAAGTGAAGGTGTGAAAAAAACAAACCTGTAGTAAGTTTCATGTCTTTTGGAAATTTATAGGGAAGTACATTTGAGCATACACATTGTCATTCTCCTTTTCTCAGTGACAGTTTTATGACTTGGCCATCTCTAAAGATAATATATTCCAATATGTAATTGCTATATAGCAAATACATTAGCTGATGAAGTTGTAGGAGGCAATGTAATAAATGTTCTTACTCAGCTTTGGTCTAACAGATAACTATGACTGACAATTTCGTAAAAATAACAGACCAAGTGTTTTTGAGAGAGAGAGAGAGAGAGAGAGAGAGAGAGAGAGAGAGAGTGTGTGTGTGTGTGTGTGTGTGTGTGTGTGTGTGTGTATGTTTTGAGACAGGGTCCCACTCTTATCACCCAGGGTGGAGGGCAGTGGTGCAATCTCGGCTCACTGCAGCCTTGACCTTCTGGGTTCAGGTGATCCTCCCACTTTAGCCTCCCAAGTAGCTGGGACTACAGGCGTGCACCACCACACCCACCTAATTTTTTTTTTTTTGGTAGAGATGAGGTTTTTCTGTGTTGCCCAGGCTGGTCTCAAACTCCTGAGCTCAAATGACCCACCTGCCTCGGCCTCCCAAAATGCTGGGATTACAGGCGTGAGCTATTGTGCCCAGCCTATATAAAAATTTTTTAAGTTTTTGGAAAATGTCAGAAATCAACGTTTCCTTTTAGCCCTATTTTCAAAAACTGGCTAGTTTGATAAATGGATCACAATTTCTTACACATGCTACTAATAGAAGAGGCATTCAAAAATAAATGACTGATGGCCAGCGAGTGGATAACTTGAGATCAGGAGTTCGAGACCAGCCTAGCCAAGATGGTGAAACCCCATCCCTACTAAAACTACAAAAAATTAGCCAGGCACGGAAGTGGAGGTTGCAGTGAGCGGAGATCGCACCATTGCACTCCAGCCTGGATGACAAAGCGAGACTCTGTTTAAAAAAAAAAAAAAAGTAACTGATAAAACTGACCACAGTGTATCTTGGGCAGTAATGGCTGCTGCTTCTCATTTTCAGCAGGACTTAATGAAAATTGCTAATGATAACGCACTACCTCCTAAGAATGATGCAAAATACGATTTTTGATGTTTAAAGGGAGGGTTCCATGGAGTTTGGTATTTTCCAAATTATATTCTAAATCTGGTACTATCTCACCTAATAATTTTATCTTTCTTTAGCAACAAGCCCTAACAATATCCAAACTAAATAAAATCATTACATGAATTTACTTTTTACAATTATTCTCCTAAGGCTGGGCGTGGTGGCTCATGCCTGTAATCCCAGCACTTTGGGAGGCCGAGGTGGGCGGATCACCTGAGGTCAGAAGTTCGAGACCAGCCTGACCAACATGGAGAAACCCCGTCTCTACTAAAAACACAAAATTAGTCGGGCGTGGTGGCTCATGCCTGTAATCCTAGCTACTCGGGAGGCTGAGGTGGGAGAACCCGGGAGGCAGAGGTTGCGGTGAGCCAGTATCACGCCACTGCACTCCAGTCTGGGCAACAAGAGCGAAACTCCGTCTCAAAAAAAAATAATAATAATAATAATAATAATAATTAAAATTATTCTCCAGGGATGGGCATGGTGGCTCATATCTGTAATCCCAGCACTTTGGGAGGCCGAAGCAGGCAGATCATTTGAGATCAGGAGTTTGAGACCAGGTTGGCTAACATGGTGAAACCCTGTCTCTACTAAAAATACAAAAAAACTAGCTGGGTGTGGTAGTGCACGCCTGTAATCCCAGCTACTTGGGAGGCTGAGGCAGGAGAATTGCTTGAACCCGGGATGCAGAGGTTGCAGTCAGCCGAGATTGTGCCACTGTACTCCAGCCTCAGCAACAGAGCAAGCAAGACACAGTCTCAAAAAAAAAAAAAAAAAAAAAAAAAAAAAGCTATTCACCTGTATTTTCCCTTAGTATCCTATAATTGACCTGTTTCCCTCTTTATAAGTTCAGCTACTTTTAGTTACCTTAACTATACCACATGGTGGTGTCATGATTGGTGTCAATGTATTGCATATATATATATATTACAATATACCACATGATAGGTGTCAATATACTCCAACAATTAGACTTAATTTTCTTCCTCTCCGATAATTTTTCCGCCTGCTTTGAGGAAACATCTGGTCATATTGCAGTTAAAAATCAAACCTCTTAACAATAAATTTATTTAATTAAATGCCATAAAAATTAATCAAGAATGGCCAGGCATGGTGGCTCACGCCTGTAATCCCAGCACTTTGGGCAGAGGTGGAAGGTGGCTCACTTGAGCTCAGGAGTTGGAGACCAGCCTGGGCAACATGGCAAAACCCCTATCTCTACCAAAAATATAAAAATCAGCCTGACGTGGTGGCATGCGCCTGTAGTCCCAACTGCTTGGGAGACGAGACTGAGGCAGGAGGATCACTTGAGCCCAGGAGGTTGAGGCTGCAGTGAGCCACGTTCGTGCCACTGCACTCAGCCGGGGTGACAAGGCGAGATCCTGCCTCAAAAAAAAAAAAAAAAAGTACTAATGATTGATTACAAACTAGAGATCTTCCTTATTCTAATATCCATTTTATTTTGGAAACGTAGCTTTCCCTCGATTTATAAGAATTAAAAGGTCTAAAGTTCTTCCATTCCACAGGATAAACTAAAGAAATTATTCATTTAAAAAAAAAGGCAAAGAAAAGAGCTTAAAGCATGAAAAGTTTTTTTGTACTTATGGCTTATTAGTCTGTGTAGAAATTCTGGAGACAGAATTACAGAAACCAGGCCCACAAAGAATCTTTGTGGTACAATCAGATTTCTTTATTATTTCTTTTATTAGAATGTAACTTAAGCTACTTAATTTTTGCCTTTGTGACTACCATCATAGAATATTCTGAAGACTAAAGTTAACCAAAGATCCAGAACAATGTTTTAATTTAATGAAAAATCTAGGCTAATATGAAGATAGAAACTCAGGCTAAAAAACTTCAGCCGGGTGGGATGGCTCACGCCTGTAATCCCAGCTCTATGGGAGGCCAAGAAGGGTGGATCACCTGAGGTTAGTAGTTTGAGACCAGCCTGGCCAAAATGGTGAAACCCCATCTCTTCTAAAAACACAAAAATTAGCCGGGCGTGGTGGCGGGCGCCTGTAGTCCCAGCTCCTCAGGAGGCTGAGGCAGGAGAATCGCTTGAACTCAGGTGGCGGAGGTTGCAGTGAACCGAGATGGCACTGCTGCGCTCTAGCCTGGGCGAGAGAGCAAGACTCTGTCTCAAAAAAAAAAAAAACACCCCACAAAAACCCAAAAAACTTCCTGGTTGTCGAATTCAGTATTAGACACAAAAAATTCTAGCCTATTTATGGGTGGTACCACTGGTAAGAGACAAATCACAAGATATTGTGTTAGGCTAACTTCAAGATCTGTCCATTCAGATAGTGGTTGACATATTGGGTGATCAGAAAAATTTGTTAAATTGCATTATGTGAAAAATCAAGTATTTGTAGAATACTTTAAGTTATTCTATTTACTACTACAATGGCATTTTTATTCTCTCTGACATAGTTTTGTGTTTACTTCAGAGTGCAGCAAGGTCTCAAACCTTAATTTCTCTAGGTTACATATTTCCAAATTTATAACTACCATCAAGACTCAAGTTTTAGAAGAGGCTGAGAACAGAAAATATGGTACTCATTCCAAAAAATGTTAAAGCTATAAGTAGAACTGAGACCTCAGTTTACATCCACTTAGTTTCTATTCCAGTGGTTTGAAGTATCTGTTGTAAATTGTTCAAGCAAGCTTTGTAAGTTGATTTTTTTTTTTTTTTGAGGCAGAGTCTTGCTTTGTTGCCCAGGCTGGAGTGCAGTGGTGCAATATCTGCTGACTGCAACCTCTGCCTTGGGTTCAAGCGATTTTCCTGCCTCAGCCTCCCGAGTAGCTGAGATTACAGGCATGTGCCACCACACACCTGGCTATTTTTTTTTTTTTTTTTTTTTTTTGTATTTTTAGTAAAGATGAGGTTTCATCATGTTGGTCAGGCTGGTCTCAAACTCCTGACCTCAAGTGATCCGCCCGCCTCGGCCTCCCAAAGTGCTGGGATTGTGGGCATAAGCCACCGCACCTGGCCCTTTAACTTGATTTCAAAGCAAAATTATACAAATGGACCCTAACTTCTATTATATATTTAAGTTTACTTCAAAGATCTACTTTATCCTTATCCTTAGAAACTGTGAGGAAAAAAAAACTATGTTAACAAAGCTGATGACAAAGATTCTTTATTATATAAGAGATCCTATTATCTGATCATATTACCTAATAAATTATATATGAATGTTCAATAATAAAAATAATGTTCACCAATATGTCACATGCATGGTTAGTGTTTTATTCTTTGAAGACTGCTTCTAAAACATCGCACTAAGTAAAGCTGAAAGGATAAAGTTTAAAATAGTTTTTAAAGGATAAGTTATAACATATGTAATGACTGTCCACTCTACAAAATCTTGATCTTAGAGCTTATGATACACCCAGTTGGCAGTAGCACCCAGGTTTTCCAAATAGCCAGTCATCACTTTTCTCTTGTCTGCATAGACTTCTTCTCATTAGCTGCCTTCTGCTTTTCTTGCATGATCTCAGAGTCCCTACAATGAGGGAAAAGTCTATAAGTTGTTACAGAAAAACCAATTATATATTCTCACTTGGTTTCTACACATAACCCATTCAGTGTATTAGAAGACAATTTAAAAGAGGATATAAACTTTTTTGTCTTTCCATTTTCATGGCTGGAGACAAAATGGAAAGACAGACTGGAAAGGCTTTGAAGTCAGATCTTATTCTGAATACCATCTCTGTTATCATGACCTTGGGCAAATAACCTCAAAGCCCTTTCAAAATCCGGGCAATATGTATCAAGGTTGTTACAAGGAATCACTATGAATATATAAAAGTGTGTGACATTAGGCAGCTACATGTAGAAATAATAGCTATTACTCTTGGTTGTTAACTAGTTAATTCATTCTAATTTTTTTCCTTGAAAGAAGAGGCATTTAAGAACTCTCCTAGGTATCCTAACTGGTATCTACGACTAGAACATAGATATTATGAAGGATTTCAGTTTCTTACAAGCAAAAAAGCCCAAAAGCTAGTCACTAAAACTGGATTACAATAAAGAAAAGCTGGATGTTCAGGGTACTTTTTTTTTTTTTTGAGACGGAGTCTCGCTTTGTCCCCCAGGCTGGAGTGCGGTGGAACGATCTTGGCTCACTGCAACCTCCACTTCCTGCTTGCAGTTCTTCTGCCTCAGCCTCCTGAGTAGCTGGGACTACAGGCATGCGCCACCACACCCGACTAATTTTTGCATTTTAAGTAGAGACGAGGTTTCACCATATTGGCCAGGCTGGTCTCGAACTCCTGACCTTGTGATCCGCCTGCCTCAGTCTCCCAAAGTGCTGGGATTACAGGTGTGAGCCACTGCGCCCAGCCCTTAACCCTTCTCATCTCCAGTCAAACTGACACATGCCATATAAACTGTGAACTATGACCAGACTACCTGGGTTAGGTGATTCATGAGTCCATGGACCCATATTTTAAAAACAGACTAAACGGCCATGCATTCAACATCTACTGTGTGTCAAGCACTCTACCAGCTCTGGTTAAAGTCCCACAACTCTGACTTATTAACCTCATGTTTCAAACTTTTTAATTTTTTATTTATTTTTTTGAGACAGAGTCTTGCTCTGTTGCCCAGGCTGCAGTGCAGTGGCACAATCTTTGCTCACTGCAACCTCCACCTCCCTGGTTCAAGCGAGTCTCCTGCCTCAGTTTCCCAAGTAGCTGGGATTACAGGCATGTGCAACCAAGCCCACCTAATTTTTGTATTTTTAGTAGAGACAGGGTTTCACCATGTTGGCCAGGCTTGTCTCGAACTCCTGGCCTCAAGTTGATCCGCTCGCCTCGGCCTCCCAAAGTGCTGGATTTACAAGTGTAAGCCACTGAGCCTGGCCTGTTTTAACTTTTTGAGGAAATGCTAAACTGATTTCCACAGCCATGATGGTAAGATATTTCTGTAAAGCCAATAGCAAAAACAAGGGAATAGAAGAAAGGCAAAATAGGCCAGTGGCTCACATCTGTAACCCCAGCACTTTGGGAGGCTGAGATAGGCGGACCACCTGAGGTCGAGAGTTTGAGACCAGACTGAGCAACATGGAGAAACCCTATCTCTACTAAAAATACAAAATTAGCCAGGCATGGTGGTGCATGCCTGTAATCCCAGCTACTTGGGAGGCTGAGGCAGGAGAATCACTTGCACCCGAGAGGTGGAGGTTGCGGTGAGCTGAGATTGCGCCATTGTACTCCGCCTGGGCAACAAGAGCGAAACTCCGTCTCAAAAACATAAAATAAAATAAAATAAAATAAAAATAAAGAAGAAAGGCAAAATAACACAGCTACAGGCTGTTCTGCCTATAAAGTAGCCAATATTTATTTCTTTACTTTCCTAATAAACTTGCTTTCACTAAAACAAAAACAAAAACATAGCTATAAAGAAATGAAGTACAGTGGAAAAAGAACCATGACAGTTACTTCTCTATTTGAAACCAAGCTCTGTTGTGCTTGCTGTGTAACTTTAGTAATGTTACTGAAGTTCAGAGCCTCAGTTTCCTATTCTACAGATTAGTGCTAATACCATTTTTCAGAGTTATGATGAATAAAGAATAATGTATATAGAATGTCTAGCATAGAATTTTATAAGGAGTGCATATCTGGTAAACAATGACAATTTCTGAACCAAGCTAGACTAGGTTCTCCAATAAAAATACTATTGCAGGGTCACTGATTCATACCATGTTCATTTTTACTCTAATGTGAGTCAACAGAAATTGAAGACAAAGCTTATCACTTTAATAATAAATGTTAGGGCCGGGCATAGTGGCTCACACCTGTAATTCCAGCACTTTGGGGGACTGAGGTGGGCAAATCACTTGACCCCAGAAGTTCAAGACCTGCCTGGACAACATGATGAAACCCCGTTTCTACAAAAAATATAAAAACTATCTGGGCTTGGTGGTGTGCCCTTGTAGTCCCAGCTACTCAGAAGGCTGAGGTGGGAGGGTCACTTGAGCCTGGGAGGCAGAGCTTGCAGTGAACCGAGACTGTGGCACTGCACTCCAGTCTGGGTCACAGAGTAAGACGCCATATCTGGGAAAAAAAAAAAAAAAGGTGTCAGGACCTTTGCCTTAAATTAAGGTCTTTAATCTCATTTATCAATGACTCTTAATAGTGGCTGCACATTAGAATCACCTGGGAGCTGTTTTAAGTTCAGTTTAAGGTATAACTGGGTGTGCTGGGAGGCTGGGGGAGGGATAGCATCAGGAGAAATACCTAATGTAAATGATGAGTTGATGGGTGCAGCAAACCAACATGGCACATGTATATCTATGTAACAAACCTGCACGTTGTGCATATATACCCTAGAACTTAAAGCGTAATAATAAAAAAAAAATTCAAAAAAAAAAAAAAAAGGTATAACTGGGCCAGCGTGGTGGCTCACGCCTGTAATCCCAGCACTTTGGGAGGCCGAGGCGGGTGGATCACTTGAGGTCAGTAGTTTGAGACCAGCCTGGCCAACACGGTGAAACCCAGTCTCTACTAAAAATACAAAAATTAGCTGGGCATGGTGGCGGACGCCTGCAATTCCAGCTACTTGGATTGCTGACGCAGGAGAATCGCTTAAGCCCAGGAGGTGGAGGTTGCAGTGAGCCGAGATCACGCCACTGCCCTCCAGCATGGGCAACAGAATAAGACTCTGCCTTTAAAAAAAAAAAAAAGGCATAACCTAAGTACAGTAAAATTTACCTAGGGTGCTTTTTAATGCTCGACCTCTGACCAATTAAATCAGAACTGGATGAAAGATAAATGTTTGAGCATAGAGATATCCCAATTACCCCGATTTGATCATTACACATTGTACACATAAAGGTTTTTTTTTTTTGACGGAGTCTCGCTCTGTCGCCCAGGCTGGAGTGCGGTGGCGCGATCTCAGCTCACTGCAAGCTCCGCCTCCCGGGTTCACGCCAGTCTCCTGCCTCAGCCTCCCGAGTAGCTGGGACTACAGGCGCCCGCCACTGCGCCCGACTAATTTTTTGTATTTTTAGTACGGACAGGGATTCACCGTGGTCTCGATCTCCTGACCTCGTGATCTTCCTGCCTTGGCCTCCCAAAGTGCTGGGATTACAGGCATGAGCCATCGCGCCCGGCCGGAGTTTCACTCTTGTTGTCCAGGCTGGAGTGCAATGGCGAGATCTCAGCTCACCGCAACCTCCGCCTCCCAGGTTCAAGTGATTCTCCTGTCTCAGCCTGCCGAGTAGCTAGGATTACAGGTGTTCGCCACCACAGTTGGCTTTTTTTTTTTTTGAGACGGAGTCTCGCTCTGTCACCCAGGCTGGAGGGCAGTGGCACGATCTCGGCTCGCTGCAAGCTCCGCCTCCCGGGTTCACGCCATTCTCCTGCCTCAGCCTCCCAAGTAGCTGGGACTACAGGCGCCTGCCACCTCGCCCGGCTAAGTTTTGTATTATTAGTAGAGACGGGGTTTCACCGTGTTAACCAGGATGGTCTCGATCTCCTGACCTCGTGATCCGCCCGCCTGGGCCTCCCAAAGTGCTGGGGTTACAGGCGTGAACCACCGCGCCCGGCCACACACTTGGCTAATTTTGTATTTTTAGTAGAGATGGGGTTTCTCCATGTTGGTCAGAATGGTCTTGAGCTCCCAACCTCAGGTAATCCACCCGCTTCGGCCTCCCAAAGTGCTGGGCTAACAGGTATGAGCCACCACGCCAAGCCAGTTTCTTTTTGTTGTTGTTTTTTTGAGACAGGGTCTCACTCTGTCACCCAGGCTGGAATGCAATGGCAGGATCTCGGCTCACTGCAACCTCCGCCTCCCAGGTTCAAGTGATTCTCCTGCCTTAGCCTCCCAAGTGGCTGGGACTACCCAGCCCACATACAGGTATTAAAAGATCACATGTACCCCCAAAATATGTACAACTATTGTAATTCAATTTTTTAAAAAAACAAAAAATCAAAACTGAGCATAACGCAAGGCTTGAGTAGCTGTCAAGGTTTCCCAGGTGATTCTAATGTGCAGCCAGGATTGAGAACCCCTAACAAGCCACACTGAAGCACATGCAGTCAGTTATTCGCTTAACCTCCAAGTTCCATATGGACAAAATCATTTGAGAATAAAATTAAGCTTTGATTAGCTCTTTTAGAAACATGAGTGTACTTTTTTTTACTTAAGCTGCAGTCTAAAGTATTTCTGTAGCAGTTTTACATTGGCACATATAGTCATATATTAAGGCTATGCACATGAATTCTCTCCAATGCAATGGATCTTCAGAAATCAGCACAGCTAGCTATTATGCATATACTTTTTTGTATCTTCTTGAGAACTATTATCATTATATATTAATAATTGAGTCCCTTGTCATTCAGAGTAGTTTGGGTAGGCTGTCTACTTTGAAAATGTTGTAACTCTAGCACCTCACAGTGTTTTGCATATAGAAGATGTTATTTTGCTGAATAAAGTTGTTTTTTTTTGTTTTGTTTTGTTTTTTTGATACAGAGTTTCCCGCTCAGTACCCAGGCTGGATTGCAATGGCACAATCTTCACTCGCTGCAACCTCCCCCTCCCGGTTTCAAGCGATTCTCCTGCCTCAGCCTCCCAAGTAACTGGGATTACAGGCATGTGCCACTGCACCCAGCTAATTTTGTATTTTTAGTAGAGATAGGGTTTCACTATGTTGGTCAGGCTGATCTCGATCTCCTGACCCCAGGTGATCCACCCACCTTGGCCTTCCAAAGTGCTGAGATTACAGGCGTGAGCCACCGCGCCCAGCCTATAAAAAGTTCTTATGGTTGTGGAGGAGCTGCATGAGTCTCTGTGAAACAAATAATAGCTTCAGAGCTTTACGTTTTTATCTATATGTTGGGATGTCTACCCCACGTGGTTTTAGTCCGCCTGGCACAAATCATTAGGCCCTGTTCTACCAAGGGCTTAACAAAATGCTTTCTGTTCCCCAAAATGAGGCCTTCTTTTTTTTTTTTTTTTTTTTTTTTTTTTGAGACAGGGTCTAACTCTGCCATCCAGGCTGGAGTGCAGTGGTGCAATCGCAGCTTACTGCGGCCTTAACCTCCTGGGCTCAAGCGATTCTCCCGCCTCAGCCTCCAGAGTAGCCGAGACCACAGCCATGTGCTACCATGCCTGGCCAATTTAAAAAAATATTTTGTAGATACAGGGGCTGGCTATGTTGTCCAAGTTGGTCTCAAACTCTTGGCTTCAAGCAGTTCTCCCGACTCTCCCAAACTGCCGGGATTACAGGCATGAGGCAACACACCCAGCCCAAAATGTTGCTTCAATCACAACGTCAGTGACTTTAGAATTAAATTAGTACCACGTACCTCTGCTTTCTCTGAGAGGCAGTCAAGCTATCCTCTTTCCTCTTTCCCTTGCTAATTTCCTGGGTTTTCTTCATGTTTTTCTGGCGGGCAAGTTCTCGTTGATTTCCACCTACAAAGTCAAACAGTCATGCTCTTTTCCCATCTCCAAAATTATTAATAATTCCAATAAACAGGCCTTATTTAAATGCATCTTTAGTTTGTGTTTTCATAGATAAACTAGCAGAGTAACAGATTGATGGTGCTCCTAGATCTGACAATAAGGAAGTGGCTTAAACACTTAAAGACTTAAGAGTATTATCATACCAATCTAGGTGGTCACTAGCTATAAATACCAGATATTTTAAAACAGATATTCGAATCTTGGGCCGGTATCCCAAAATAAGTTCTGGCTTTTGAGGGGAGTGGGTGGAAGAGAAAGCTAGATACAGAGATCACAAGTTCAGCCCATCACTTGAGAGTTACCTTTATCCCCATGCAGAGGCGGAGAGGGGTGGATGGAGACTGAACAGATTGAAGGTAAGTCTGCGAAAGGCAGTGTGGGCCTTTACATCCTTATTCTAGCCACAACCCTGCAAGGTAGGCTTCATTGTTTTCATTTTGCAGAACAGACTGACCTAACACCTAGGACTGGTACAAACGAACATCAAATTTAGGACCGGCTCTAAAGCCTCCTGTTTATTCGGCTACTACCTGCGAGCGCCAAACAAAAGAACTAGGGAGGCGACTCACTGGAGTTCCCGGTCCTCATTAGGCCTTAAGACTTGAGGTATCAGCTATAAAGTACCTCCAAACAAGGACCCTCCTGGGGCGGCCGTGTCCACATCTCCGGGGTGTGTTCTTTACCGCACAAACTCGCACCTGAGGGGCAGGCACCCGTCCGGCCTGAAAAGCCGGACCGGAACCACCCGCGAGCTCTCTCTCTGCCGACTGAAGCGGGGATCCCCGCACTGCGCGACCCAGGGGGATTCTCCAGCCGGACTCCGCCTCCCCCGCCCGCCGCGCCTCAGCGCTAGGCTCCCACGCCGGACGCTCGCCGCCGCTTCCCACCCCCACTCACGGGCCATGCCGACCACCAACGGAGCCTGGAAGAAGAGCAACTCGGAAAAGCAACGGTTCTCTGGCACTCTGGGATACCGTCACCACCGCTGACCGGGAAGGCTGAGCCCTCGTGGGCCCTCCGCCCGGCTGCGCCTCCGCTCTGCTCCGCCAACGGCCCCGCCCGCTGGAGGCCCGACAACAGCCGCCGGCATGGCCGGCGCGTCACTGCGCGTGCGCGGCCGGGGCTGGGCCGGGGCTCCGAAGCTCGGCCGGGGCTCCGAGCTTGTTGAATTACATTTCCCTCATGCTACATTAGCACTAATTTTAAAAGGGATATACAATATGTATATCTCTATTATGTGATAAGTTAAGCTGTTGTATTCTGAAATTTAAAAGCATTATTTTCAGTGAAAAAAACCACACAAATAGAAATGTGTACAAAAAACTCACTGAATGATATTTCTTTAATAGTAAAGGCACAATATGTCAAAACCTCCTCTTTCCTTTTTGCAACGATGTAGAACTGCAAAGTTAGCTAATGTCATCTCCTAATTAAACAAAATCAACTGTGAGAAAATTAAACTGATTGCTTCACAATTACGGTTGAGCAAACACTCAGTTTGTCCCTATTTCATCTCCTGCTTTAGATCTTTGAGAAATTTCCCATTGTTTTGCTTCCTTAGATTTACAGGGAAGAATATCTTAATATTCTTTAATGAACTTGCATTTGTAGCATCTATACTAATGTTACATCAACTAGGCCTTATGCATACATATTTATAACTTAAAATATTCTGCACAAATATGATATATTTTAAAGTCTATACCTCTTATAAGTATTATCTTTTCTGCTGAAATTCAAGGCTATCAAATAAGTGTATGTTTTTAGAGTTGTACAGTGAGATTTGAAAGCAGTCATGATATAATCACTGTAATTTTTTTAATTAAATGGTGGCAGATAGGCCAGATAAATTGCGGGAAAGGGTCAGATAAATGATGTTATGAATGAGGTAAACTTTTATCATATTTTGTATTATTTGTTATCTATGCTTCTGTTTACATAGCAGGATGACTCTATTGCATTCTGTCATTAACACTGATTTGTCCATATCAGTGCAAGTGAAATCTGCCCTACCCTAAATGAACCAGTTATTTCTAACCTACACCATCAAGAAAAGGTTATGTCTATCAACCTCCATTACATATTATATAGAATATACACAATATACATTCTAGATATATGAAGTCTTTGCATACATCTGAGTTATGCGTATGAGTATACATTTATATATACTTATATATATGTTTAAGATATATATTTCTGAGGATCCATATATGTCAGTGAACATGTACTCAATGAACTTTCATTATTGTGCAAACATAAACAGTGCAGTGTTATGGGATATTCCAACCAATTATAAGATCAAATCTCTTCACTTATTCTATTTGTTTTTGTTGTTATTGTTGTTGCTTTTTGAGACGGAGGAGTCTTGCTCTGTCACCCAGGCTGGATGGAGTGCAGTGGCGTGATCTCAGTGCACTGCAGCATCCGCCTCCTGGGTTCAAGCAATTCTTCTTCTTCAGCCTCCCAAGTAGCTGAAATTACAGGTGCGTGCCACCACACTTGGCTAATTTTTGCATTTTTAGTAGAGATGGGTTTTCACCATGTGGGCCAGGCTGGGTTTGAACTCCTGACCTAAAGTGATCTGCCTGCCTCAGCCTCCCAAAGTGCTGGGACTACAGGTGTGAGCCACTGCATCCAGCCTCTATTTGTTCATTTTTATAAGGCAATTTCTCACTCAAGATGTAGAATCCCTTTTCTTTTCTTACTTCATTATTTTTTTCTAGAAGCCAATGTTAAAAAGAGAAGTGTATTAAGAGACACTTTAAAAAGATGAGATTTACAAAAACATCTTGATAATAAGAAAAAAAACCATATGTCATTTATATCTAAATCAATCAGATACCTTTAAGGCTTGTCTCATAGGATCCTATAACCAGGGTTTTTAAAACTGCTTTATATTAAGAATAGCTAAGAAATGGGAACTTAATCTGCCTTCCTCTTATGAATTCTACACCACAGCCAGTATGAGCTGAGATAATATTAGATACTCTTAATGTTATTGTTCCTGCACCTCATATTCATGAAAATTGCATAGATATTTAGAGAAATCTACATTCCACTAAACATCTATTTATCTATTTATATATGTATTTACAATTTTTGCATTTAAGAATATGCATGCATTCACTCAATGTGATATAGTTAGGCTTTGTGTCCCCACCCAAATCTCATCTTGAATTATTATCTCCGTAATCCCCACCTAGCAAGGGAGAGACCTGGTGGAGGTAATTGAATCATGGGGGTGGTTTGCCCCTTGCTGTTCTTGTGATAGTGAGTGAGTTCTCAGGTTATCTGATGGTTTTATAAGGAGTTCTTCCCCGCTTTGCTCGGCACTTCTTCCTGCCACCTTGTGAAGAAGTTTCCTTGCTTCCCTTTCAACTTCTGCTATGATTTCCTAAGTTTCCTGAGGCCTCCCCAGCCATGCTTAATTGTAATTCAGTTAAACCTCTTTCGTTTATGAATTACACAGTCTCTGGCAGTTCTTTATAGCAGTATGAAAACAAAGTAAAACAGCATGTTTTGACATGTCCGTATAATTTGGTTGACTCACCTGGCCCCTTGCAGTTTGGTATAAATTGTAATACAATTTCCATGTTTATTTATCTCTATCAAATAATGAAAACATGGCATCTGCATTCAGAGATAAAGTTTCTCATTTTTATACAGGCACAAGTTTTACCTAGTAAATAATGTTTAAATAACTTAAAACCAAGTTCTAGTTATACTATCTATTACTCCAATTTGGTCTCAATAAATCACATGAAAGGAAGGTAGATATTGTTATTTTCATCTAAGAGGAAACCCAGTTTGAGAAAAATGAAATAACTTGCTTAAGGTCACAAATCCAGTAAGTAGTGGAGGCTAAACTGAAATCAAGGTTTTCAGGCTCCAAATTCTCTATTTTTGAATGTTATATAACTCAACCAAGTAAATATCATATATTAAGGTAAAAAACATCTTTCACACTTTTATACTACTAAACTCTATTACAATTCTCTATAGAATAACACATGGACATTTTAGCAGTTCTGTAAAACATCAGAGTAAAAGCTTTTCACCTGTAACTCACTGTCAACTGAAAGACAAATTTTACTCTCTTAAAAATAGAAGAAATATCATTTGCAAGTAGAAGAGACAATGATGCACTTTTTCATTTTCTTAACTCAACTGGAATTAAAATTATATTAACTCATCATTTTTCTCTTTCATATCACAAATAACTTATTCTGCTTCTCACTATTGTAATGTGTTTTTTTAAAGTCTAACAACTCTTTCACTTATTTGACAACATTATATTAGAGTTAAAGTTAAAAACATTTTTTCTTTTGATGTTTAAAAATACAATACAAACAATGGAAAATGGAATTTGCATGTCATTGTACGTTGCAGACTCCAAGTGGAATTTGCTAATCACAAATTCCAATAGCATATATATTCTTATATCTCTAGTTGTTAAACTGATCGTTAATAATTAAACTTTTCAAAAATATAGTGTATATTTTAATTATATAAGAATATGTAAATTTTGGATGCAATTAATATTTAAACCATTAATCTGCACTTCAATAATACAGAGTTGACTCTTTTGAGATAAAAGTCAGCCAGGATTACAAACTCTAGTAGTATTTTTTAATAAATAAAAAATATTGAAGAAACAGCTTTGTTTTCCAATCCCTAGTTTTCTTCATTTGGTAAATAAATGTTTGCTGAACATGTATAAAATGTCAAGTATTGTGTGTGCTTTGATAGTTATGTATAAGCATGAGATATGAACTGTTCATAGAATATTAATCTTTTTTGCATATTTGCTTATTTCATGTTCTTTTTTCAGTAAGACTTTGTGCCTTATAATTGCATATAACCCAACAGAATGAAATACAATAAAATTAATTAGATGAGGACATCAAAATGAAAGAAAAATAAAAATTCTTTGAAACCAGGGACTAAGTTAGTATACAAAGTCCATGCCAAGAAGAATTAGTTTCTAGCAATGTAT
This sequence comes from Homo sapiens, assembly GCF_000001405.40. Lineage (NCBI taxonomy): Eukaryota > Metazoa > Chordata > Mammalia > Primates > Hominidae > Homo > Homo sapiens. Next base: position 878,866 of record NW_025791777.1, read on the forward strand.
TCCACATGTGGCTCTAAGTGTTCTGTCTATCCACAAATAGAAAAAAACAGATACAATTACATGATTCAGATCTTCCAGAAGTTAAATGAACATACACACAATTGTTTTGTTCAATAAAAGGCAAAACTATTCCTTTTAGCTGCATAATAAAAAAATCTCTCATTATCCTTTTTCTAAGAGTACTGAAAATAATGGCCATCAACAATAACTTTAAGTAAATAATCTGATGTTTCACAGAATATTTTCTTGTAATTTCCCCCTCTGAGTCTTTGTAAGAATATTTTGTAAAAGCACTTCTGTAAGATCTGAATTTTGTGTGGTTGAGTATTAATACTCTATGCAGGTCTGGCTTCATTACAGGAAGAATTTCCAGTATCCAGAGAAAATGGCTGGCCCATAGTCCTTCTGGCATGCCTTCATAAATGCTGCTTATTTTCACTAACCTCTCCATCTGTACTGAGTGGCAGTATGTTTATGGTTATTTCCCTCGAAAAGAGACTAAAGTTCAGAGAGCCTTTATTGTGTGTTAATTGCAAATCCTACACTAAAAAAGTCAGCTAAACCTGGGCTAGTAATGACGCAAGCATGAATCAAAAGGCATCTCACCTTTGCTCAGAGGGAAACTTCAAGGAATCCTTGAAGTCAAACATCCCTTCAAAGACTGTTAAGACACAAATGAATAGGGATTGGGCCCCAAAATTCTGAATCAGAGCATTACAGGATGTAAATCTCATGGAGAAAAGAACACGTACGTCCGGCAGAATGGGATAGGCACATATAATTCTAAACAGCACATAGTTTGAGATTTACAGTTAAATAGTAGAGATGACTGAGAATATTGTTGACCCAGGGCAAGGAAAATTTTGTCATTGGGCACAATTGAGAATAATGAATTTATAATAAGCTGGATTCAGACAATTCTGTATCCTTACCCATGAATGGATAAACCAGAGAGTGGGACTAATAAAGTGTTCACAGATTGCATATTTTATTTGGAAAACTATCAAGGATAATTAAAGGGGCAAGAGATTAGCTAAGATATAATTGGTTCTGGGAACAAAAGCAATAGAGTTCCATGAAGCAAAGAGCATTCATGATTTGGGTGAAGCGGGGCATTCACCCAGAATAAAAGACTTGCTAAGTTTGCTCAGGTTACATCAGGGACACATGTAATATAGGTGGTTAAATAGATGGGGGGGTTAATGCCCATAAATTCTTAGTCCAGCATTCTCATGATGACAGGAAAAGTAAGAAGATATTGTCCTATTTATGTGAAAACTGGCATGGAAAAGGGAGAAGCAAAAGAGAAAATTTTACAATCCATTAATTAGTTTCATTAGCTTAAGATATACTCACATATATGCATCATCAAAATTCTGGAAAATTAGGCCACTACTAACACAGCTTCCAATATGTTGGTAAAGCAATAGTTCATCAAGATTAAAAATAACTTAGTATATACATTTCTCAGGTACATTTTATATTTTTAGTCAAAGAGCCCACACAATTGTTTTATGTTGATATGGAAAAGACAGTGCTGACCCATTTCTCGTAAAGTGAGAAACTAGAACTTTTCTTTCTTTCTTTCTTTCCTTCTTTCTCTTTTTTCTTTTTTTTTTTCTTTTTTTTTGAGACAGTTTCTTGGCTCACTGCAACCTCTGCCTCCCAGGTTCAAGCAATTCTCCTGCCTCAGCCTCCCAAATGGCTGGAATTACAGGCAACCGCCACCACGCTCAGCTAATTTTTGCATTTTTAGTAAAGATGAGGTTTTGCCATGCTGGCCAGGCTGGTCTGGAACTCTTGGCCTCAAGTGATCCACCTGCCTCGGCCTCCCGAAGTGCAGGGATTACAGGCATGAATCACCGCGCCGGGCCAACTACAAACTTTCTTCTAGAACACATAACGTTAAAAATAAAAATGTTAAAATTAATGATTTATTTATTTTTACTGCACAGTTGAGTTGATGTTAATGTAAAGTAAATTCTTAAAAGTTACAATCAACAAGTAACATTCCTTTTGAAAAGTATGCTTGTCCTAGATTAGTGTTTGCTACTTACTCGTCAGTTCTAATCACCAAGTTATAATTATATGTTGGAGAAATTTGGGGGGGAAATTTCTGTGAAGGATCAATGGGAAGGTGCCAGAGAAGACAGGCAGAGCCTTTGGATTTTGATGCAAGGCTGAAATTTGTGAATGGAAGTAGGGCGTGCAGGAAGGCCCTCATATAATAGGGCAGCTCTGAAAACAGTAATGTTGGCCAGAGAGATGGTGAGTCCTGTAGCCAAAGTCAGAGGAGTGCACATCCTACAAGGATGAGCTGGCATTATTAATTCTGTTTCGCTTATTCATTAGCTGGGAAGCCTGAAAGAACATGGCCTTAGTGGTGGTAGATCCAGAGTGTAAGAACAGGGAATATTAGTCACCTCAGCTTCTTGCATCATGTTCTCTTGATGGCATTAGAAGTACACCACTGGGGTCCCATCGATGCAGAGTTTGAGATTTAATAGGCCACACCCAAGTGTGAGACAGTAAACAAGGACTATGGCCACACAGTCCAGGTAGAGCTTAGATTAGCACCCCTAAATGAGACTAAAACATTCAAAAAATTAAGCAAGTTCTACCCCATAGAAGAGGATGGAAGATAACCATGACTGTCTCAGAGACTGTTCTGTGTAGAGAAGGGAAAGAGAAGACTCCTGGCAGAATTCTTCTCCATGGGCTCTCCTTCACACCGGGGAAGGGTCCCAGAAGACCTTAAAGTCCCAAATGTGGTTTTAAAATGGTCTCAGGTCAGGAGCAATCCCAGATATCTGGGACATGCAAACCCAAATCCTATGCTGAGGAATGTACCCTAAGCCCAGTCCTCAAATATTCCCTCAGATAAAGTTCTATGGAAATGAGTTCCCAACAAAACTATCACAAACAGATGGAGAGGGAAGTCTCTTTGAGCAAATTTATAGATAAAACAAAGGATATGATCAAACCTCAAGTGGCTGTGAAACTTGAGGGTCTTCATAATAAAAATACAATTTAAGGAGCTTGTAGGTTGGGTGCAGTGGCTCACGCCTGTAATCCCAGCACTTTGGGAGGCAGAGGTGGGCGGATCACTTGAGGTCAGGAGTTGGAGACCAGCCTGGCCAACAAGGTGAAACTCCATCTCTACTGAAATACAAAAATTAGCCAGGCGTGGTGGTGGACGCCTGTAATCCCAGCTACTCTGGAGGCTGAGGCAGGAGATTTGCTTGAACCCAGGAGGTGGAGGTTACAGTGAGCCAAGATCATGCCACTGCACTTCAGCCTGGGTGACAGAGCGAGACTCCATCTAAAAAAAAAAAAAAAAAAAAAAAAAATTGTATAGTTCATGTGAGCAGAATTCTTTTTTTTTTTTTTTTTTGAGACGGAGTCTCGCTCTGTCGCCCAGGCCGGACTGCGGACTGCAGTGGCGCAATCTCGGCTCACTGCAAGCTCCGCTTCCCGGGTTCACGCCATTCTCCTGCCTCAGCCTCCCGAGTAGCTGGGACTACAGGCGCCCGCCACCGCGCCCGGCTAATTTTTTGTATTTTTAGTAGAGACGGGGTTTCACCTTGTTAGCCAGGATGGTCTCGATCTCCTGACCTCATGATCCACCCGCCTCGGCCTCCCAAAGTGCTGGGATTACAGGCGTGAGCCACCGCGCCCGGCCATGTGAGCAGAATTCTAAGTGCTTTTATAAGTAACTCATCTCCTCCTCATAATTCCGAAAGCAGGGAATGTCATTTCACGACACAGCCAACAAATATATGGTGAGTGCCAAAAGCATCAAGATAATACAAAAATAACAGCAGCGAGGAAAGCAGGACGTCTACCACCTTCATGGGGCTTGCCTTCTAATGAATACAAAATCAGTATGAGCTCCTGTTTTCTCTCTTTCTGTCCCTGTGTGTCTGTCTGTCTCTTTTTCTCTCAATCTCAAAACATGCATGTACACAACACATATACAACACAAACATTTCCTTTGCAACTGAAAATAGACAGATGAAGGATAATGAAAAAAACCAGAAAAGCCGCAAAATAACAAAATGATATGTGTAACAGGCATTGAAATCATCAGCCAAAACATTATATAGCCTAGCTACTGTGTGATTTTGTATAAATGAAAGGAAACTAGGAAGAATTTCTAACTTCACCATCTTCTTCCTGGGAAACCATGGGGAGAAGGTTTAGTCCCTGTTATTTTCAGTTTGCATCTCTATACATTTATTTACATTTCTCAACCTAACAATAACAGTGGAATTAAATGAAACCAGAAAGTGTTATGATTTAAACGGGAATAATTTTTCTGGATTTTGCAGGCCAACTGATACAAACAACAGAATGTTTTATTTTTATAAAATAGGCTTAGTGGAAGCCACACTATTACTTCCTGGTCTGTGTTTGTCATCATCATTTTACTATTTTTTTAACTAACAAAAAAGTTGTATATATTTATGGTGTACAACAGTATGTTTTGGACTATGTACACATTGTGCAATGGCTAAATCAAGCTAATTAATATATGGCTTACCTCACATACTTACCAGATATTAAAGTGAGAACACTTGAAATCTACTCTCAGTGATTTTCAAGCACTCTATACAATACATTGCTATTAACTATGGTCGCCACGTTGTATAACAGATCTCTTGAGCTTGTTATCATCCTCATTTAATGTTAATACACGAGAAGATAAGTCCAGGATCTGTCTTTTATTACCTTTATTGGTTTCCCTATATAGTGCTATCTACTGTTACACTAGATTTTTCCTATGCAATCCAAGAATAGAGATTTTCTAAAACAATTAATTTAGTGACTTGAATGCAACTGGTTGGTAATTCTGTTTTTATTGTCAAAAGTGTAAATAAATAATTTTAAATAACATGAGTTCATTCTCTTTAATATTGGCCTATGAATTATTTGTTTATGATTCATAGGCCAATATTAAAGAAAATGACTCATATTATTTATAAAGTTTATAATTTGAGATAAACAGGAAAATAAAACAATACTAATTTTAATAATAATAAAAAACTGTTCTGAGGGATTAATGCAAGGTTGTTACAGTGTGAACACTTCACATGCATTACCTATTTTCATGCTTAGAGCGACCTAATGTGCTAGTTACTGTCAGTGATCAGATTATACCGATGAGGACCCTGAGAAATAGAGAAGATAAGAAAACTAATGAAGTTAAAAAGAACAGAGCATGGACTCAAACCAATATCTGACTCAAAGCCCAATCTCTCACCTATTAGTTTGCAAATGTTATATCTATAGGTGAACTCACTAAAGCCTTCAGACATAAGATTCAAAACTGTGGTGTTTTCACAGTTAAATTATGAGTAATGTTTACTATTATATAATTTCTAAATAGATCAAGTTCTTGTTATTTACACATTTATAGACATAAAGTTTTGAGACATCTGGGTAGAGACTGAAACAATAGACTGGAACTTAAAAGCAGAAGTTTAGATGAGAGGGATATTTAGGTGTATTAATAAGGATTGAGGCTGTAAAAATGAATGAAATTACCCGAGAAAGCATTTCAAATAAGCAGAGAGGTGGGCTTGGCTGGGCACAGTGTCTCATGCCTGTAATCCTAGCACTTTTGGAGGCCAAGATGGGAGAACTGCTTGAGGCCAGGGGTTTGGGACCACCTTGGTCAATATAATGAGACCCCCATCTATATTTAAAAAAAAATTAAAAGTAGAGAGGTGGCCTGAAACACAGACATAGAGTTACCCAATAAGTGGGGCAAGGAAGTATAACCATGCAAAGGAAACTGATAAAGAGGGCCAGATGAGGAGATAGAAAATCTGGTCTGTGGGATGCCTCAGAAGCCAAAGAAAGATGTTTCCAAAAGAAAATGATAAACAGCTTTAGTAGTTGGTAGAAAGAGGATAGAAAGCTTTTCCATAGGATTGAGCCAACCTGAGAACAAAGGTGACCTATAAGCTGCAAAGGTAAAGGGATGGCACTAGAAGTTCTAAGGTAACCAGAAGTTTGAATACATTTGAAAACCCATTGCAGAGAGTAGGAGAGTAAGTTGACTAGGTATACAATTTCAGGCAATTTAGGAAAAAATAATTGAAGGACTGATTATAAATTTATTCATTAATTCAAAAAGTGTCTGATAGTGGCAGTAAACACAACACTGTTCTGAGTGGTTTGGGTATATTTGCAGTGTAAAACAGACAATATCCTCTGCTCTCATAGAAATTAAGGTCCAGTAGAATGATAAAGAAACAATAAATATCAGGTAAAAATGTTTTAATACAATACATTAGAAAATGGCCAGTGGGTTTTTTTTTTTAAGTAGATCACAACAATTAGAAAGATCAAGAGTGTTTGAGGTCAAAGCAGGTTGCATTTTAAAATGGGATTGACCCACTGCTGTATATCTACACCAAGGAAAAGGAATCATTTTTATAAAAAGACACCTGCCTGCTATGTTTATTGCAGCACTATTCATAATAGGAAAGTCATGAAATCTACCTCAGTGCCCATCAATGGATGACTGGATAAAGAAAATATGGTACATACTAGGGCCGAGCACGGTGGCTCATGCCTGTAATCCCAGCACTTTGGGAGGCCGAGGCGGGCAGATCACCTGAGGTCAGGAGTTCGAGACCAGCCTGGCCAACATGGCGAAACCTTGACTCTACTAAATATACAAAAAAATTAGCCAAGTGTGGTGGCAGGTGCCTGTAATCCCAGCTACCCAGGAGGCTGAGGCAGGAGAATCGCTGGAACCCAGGAGGCAAAGGCTGCAGTGAGCCTAGGCTGCGCCATTGCACTCCAGCCTGAGTAACAGAGCAAGACTCTGTCTCAATAAATGAATAAATAAATAAATACAGTAAAGAAAGAAAGAAAAAAGAAAATATGGTACATATACCAGCCATAAAAAGAATAAAATCGTGTGTTTTGCAGCAACACATATAGAGCTGGAGGCCATTATCTTGGGTGAAATAACTCGAAAAATCAAGTACTGCATATTCTCACTTATAAGCGGAAGCTAAACAATGAGTACACATGGACATAAAGAGGAAAATAATAGGCATTGGGGACTCTAAAAGTGGGGAGGATAGGAGAGAGATGAGGGTTGAAAAATAACCTATTGGGTACAATGTTTACTTTATGGGTGATGGGTACATTAGAAGCACAAACCTCACCATTACCCAATACATCCATGTAACAAACCTGCACATGTACCCCCGTACTTATAATACAAAATAAAGTGGGATTGACAACAATACTCAATTTGGTTGATATTTCAGCAACAATGTGGACTGAAAGAAGTGAGAATTAGCCATGCGGATATCTAGGGAATAGCACTCTAGGTATGGGAACAGCAGTGCAAACTCCCTGAGGTGGCAGGGCAGCGTGCATGAACAGCGAGAAGAGAGTAATAGGAAATGAGGTTAAGGAAACAGTGGGAATGAGTGTAGGGGCCAGAAAGTGTAGGAACTTGAAGGCCACTCCAAGGATTTAGGTTTTACTGAGTGAAATAGGAGCCTTCCTATTGCTAACAATATACACTAGTCCCCTCATTTCTCCAGTGGGGTTCAGTGTAGGATTTCTATGCACTGAGAGTGGCTTCATAAGTAGCTTTGACAATTACCACAAAATAACAGCATGAGGAAGGAATAGTTTACAAGTGTCTTATGAAAATGCAAACCATATGTGTTCTGCTTAATAATGAACAGAGGTAAGAAATTAATGGGTGGCTGTTTTAGAAGAATGGAAGAGAAATGGACTGAGGTTTAATGCGTACATTTGTATTCTCATTCACTGATATAAAGATAAATACATTGAATCTGGATCCAGGATTTGAGGCTTTTTCTGCATCAGACCCTCCTGTTCTTAGTCAAATCATTTCCATTTGTAAAACTAAATTACTATTTCAAAGTGCTCAGACAGAAATGGGACAAACAAAGAAGATAATTTTGAGCCAAAAATGTTTTAACATAGCATGAAGCTTTAAATTAAAAAAGACACTTCTTAGTATTACACTTCTGGAATTTAACCTAAATGTAAATCCTTTTTTTTTTTTGGAAGCAGGGGCCTACTGATCATTTATTCTTTCATGAAACGAAACAAATAAACATTTATTTATTGACTATGAAGATGGGTCTCGGGGAAATATTCCCTTTAGAAGCTCACAGTCCAGTGTGCTTCTTCTCCACTTTCTGTGTGGTAGTGAAGTATTTTTCCTTTTATAAGTACAAATGAATTACTCACTTTTTGATTCCAGTCAATGCAACACTAGAATTATTCAATGAAATTACATTTTCTTATGGTGCTCAGAGGACGGCCCACTGCCAATGTAATTGAGGCCCTTTCAAAACGTAATTTCCATTAACAATGTTTACTCTGAAATTGTCTCTTTGGCTTTCTTCATATGACAGAATCTATGATTGAATGAAAGTGCTAGGTTTGAGATTACTGCATCTATAAATGTAATATTTACTTTGAGTATTAATGATTGTAATGGTTGGCTTTTAAGATCATTTCAGTTGCTTTGATAACGGAATAGCAAGGCAAGAAATTAACAGTGACAGATGACTTCATTAACTAATTCCAGTTAAATAAACCTCTGATTCTCTTCCCAGCTCACATGTTGTTCACGTAAATGCTTGGAGAAAATGTGACGATTATAGTTCTTTTTATACATTTTAATATACATGCATCATACTGAAAATTTTATATATATTATATAAGGTAAGAATTATTCATAAATTTATAAAAGCAAATTCCATTCTCTGACTGGCAATAAGATCCCTTAACACCCATATATATTTCCCATACAGGTATTATTAAAATGAAAAATATACAGTTTTTAGGCATATATCCACTAAATCAAAAGCCCATTTTTGTTTAAATAATTTTCTTTAGCTATATATCATTTTTGAAAGCACAATTTATAATGTTCAAAATAGAATGTGTTCCAAACTTTCTCTTAGAGTGCTCAGTGAGAAAGTACTTATATTTATATCCATTTTGAAGCAGTCTTCAGAGAATCATACTTTAATCAGGAAATCTGAGCTTATGAAAATGTTCATTATATTGATTTTTTTTTTCCATATTGCTGTGCACACTGAATCTTGTCCCAGCAGGCTAATGAAATACTTTATTTCATGATGTGTCTCTAGGCTATGGAGATATGTGACGTGTTATGGCCAAATTTTGTGTGATCTTCTATATTGAAAGAGTCACCCACATGTCCCTAAAAGATACCCATACTTGCAATTTTATAAAAAAGTGAATTTTGCTCAAACACATTATTTACAGATGTTCAATCAGATAAGTTAAAACCAGACAATTTGTAAATGATTTAATTGAATTTTAAGGGATATGGAGAATAAATCCAATGAATAAATATCATTTTTAAATGCATCTCATATTTTGTAAGAAAATATATTTACAAAATGGAAAACTGCATTATTAAAATACAAACTTTATAGCAGTTTTATGCAAAATAGTATATAGAACAGTTACCTGATTTGTAACAAAAGGGTAGCTCTGTATTCTCAATACAGATCATTTCCCTTTAAATGTTCTTGTCTTTTTAAAATGCTTTACAAAATAATTGTTTCATTATTTATTAGAGAGTTCATAATAAGTTTTCTTTGCATAAAGTATTCATTTGTCATTTAAAAATACAAAATTAAATGACTCTATCAATAAAAATGTTTGGAATATTTTTCATTTTATATTTACTGACTAGTATAGAGCAAACTAAATGAGTTTTGGAGTCTCTCTTTTACATATGTTTTACATTGATATGATTCTTCCTATAAAGTCATAAATAACTTTTACAAGTATAAACACTGCTGCATGAAGAAAAATACTGACCTAGTAATCTCCTAGGTCAGATTTGGATTCAGCAGCACAGAATGGAAATCCAATTATAATCTCTTAAACAAAGAAGGATTTATTTTTCTCGTGGGTCTTATACAGCAACCCAAAGATTGGCATCCTGGGTCTTATACAGCAACTCCATGATAACATCAAAAAAGGACCTTTTAATTTCTCAATCAAACATGTGGCTTTCTTTTTTATGATCGTAAACCAGTTTCTGCATCTCTAATCATTATTTTGGCAAGCCATGGAAAAGACAAAGGAAAAAAATGGAGAGATTAAAAAAAAAAGCAGCAAAAAGTACATGCAGTATGAATACAGGTGGATACAAAGAAAGGAACAACAGACAGGGCCTACTCGAGGGCAGAGGGAAGGAGGAGGGTGCAGAATGAAAACCTAGCCATTGGGTACCATGCCTATAACCTGGGTGATGAAATAATCTGTACACCAAACCCCCATGACACTCAATTTACCTATATAACAAACCTGCACACGTACTCCTGAACCTAAAAGTTAAAAAATAGAATAAAATAATTAAAAAAACTTTTCCTAAAAAGCCCCAAAAGATTTTTCCCATGTTTACTGCATAAGGTGAAATGAAGTCACATGTGTACTCTAGCTCTGAGGCATTCTGGGAGGAGTGAGCATTTTAATTGGGCAAAACACAGCCATTGATGATACATGCTGTGACTATGGAAGGATTCTATTAAAAAGGAGAAGGGGAACGGGATATCAGGTAGGCCTCTAGCGGTGGCTGTCATGCTCATTAACAACTTTGCAATCAGATCCCAAAAGGCTAAGAAACTGTTAAAGACATTGCTTAAAATAGATGTTCACTAGCTTCAGTGAAATAAAAGATAGTGTATCTCATTGTCTTATGATTTAATGTTCTGAAGTAATCATTTGCTGAAAGCTACAACAATTAATGGTGACAAATTTAGAGGGTGAAGTCACGTCTGTGTTTTTACTCCCTATGTTCCAGCTACCTAGGATTGGGCAAGTTATTTAATATGTCTTGGCCTTTATTTTCTAATTTATAAAATATTCAGGAAAAGGAAAACTGCATCAATGAAATTTTCTACAGTACTGATTACTTCTTTTTTCTAATAATGTAAGTAAACAACAAATGCAAAGTAAAAAGTCTATTGATTTTAATAGATATGATAGGCTTTTTTTCGAGCTGAATAGATATTAAAGAAAGTATAAGTACCCTTTTGCAGCTGAAGAATATTGTAAACTAAATTGCACATTGGCTGAATTTATATGTATGGCAGGTAAAATATTTGTGCACTATCCGATCATCACTTGAAGACAGAATGTAATAATCTTTAATTCTTCTACATGGTAGAAATGTGAAGGTCCTCCTGGTTGCTGCAGTATTTCCAGCCAGTAGCAATATATACTTTCTAAGTGGAGATTAATGAGTAATTATGTCATTTTACACCATCAGTCATGGTGATGGACTGATTCCAGATTGCTACAGTAAGAATGAAGAGGTTGAGTCCCACCCCTTGCTTATTTGTTGAGATTAACTTGATAAAGTGATCACCAAAGTTGAGTCCTCCTACTCTTTCTGAGACTTATACATATAGCTTTATCTGTTTGGTCTTGCAGATATCATTTGCACTCAGGCCAACGGCTGATGTGATGCCAGGCTCAGTGTTCTGTGTGGCATTTTCCTAGTACACATAGATATTGGCTCAGGCTGTCAAAGATAAAAAAAAAATAACCAAAAAACATTAAGCATAAGAAACAGCACATGGGGCTGAGTGTGGTGGCTCACACCTGTAATCCCAGAGCTTTGGGAGGCCAAGGCGAGAGACTAGCTTAAGGCCAGGAGTTCAAAACAAGCCTGGGCAACATAGCAGTATTCCATCTCTACAAAATAATTTTAAAAAGAAAAAAGAAAAGAAAAAGCAAATAGCAGGAGTCACATTTCTACACTGTGACTGAACTTCATTAATAACAGCAAATGAGCAGATCGGCTCAAACAACCATGGGAAAAAGAAACTAGACACAAATGGGTGGAAGGAAATACTAGGTAATGCCTAGTAGTGCAAAGTATTTGCATTGTATTAAACTCTTAACTTTTTATTATTTTATTTAATTCTCCCAACTGCCACAGTTATTTCCCTTTTACACATACAAAGTTAATTATTTTGCCCAAGGTCATAGCACCAAACCCAGGCAGTTGATTTTAAAGTCTATGCCTTTAAGTGATATTCTACATTATATCCACCTAGAGATACAAAATAAATTCTAAAAAATAAAACTTCACTAGTGCTGAGTATATATACTTGTTTGAGGAAAACCTTGATAGATTGACCTATCGACATTTATGACTGGAAAATCCCATTGCAGATGCGCACCTGTACACTAGACTTGAAGTTCCAAAGAGATGCCTTTAACAGATATTGTTCACTAATACTCAGATTTATCACGAACATTATGGAAGACATTTAATGGCTACAGTACTCTGAGAGACATGATCTGGGAATATATGTTTCAGGCTGCTGCAGTTCTTCTCAGGTCAAATCATATTTCTTGTGAAGATAGTGCAGTGTTAACTGATAGCGCATCAAACCTGAAGGGACAGTTCAATGGGTTTGTGTGCCGAGCTGGAAAAGAAAGTCAATTTTCATTTGCTTTTAGACCCACATTTTGAATCAGACAATATTAGATACAATGGCAGTCTCAGAAGAGATGGTCTCATGTTTGCCTTTTAAATGTTGGTGCTTCATTTTTAAGACCAAGATACAAGTATGTGAGAAAAAGCACCCAGAGAATACTGAATGGTAATTCTCTCATGATGAATAATATGTCTACCTTAATTGATACTTGAAGAAAAATTGGTAAGTCTCAGCTAAAGCATAGTAACTAAGGGTTGGTTTGTAAAATAAATAAAGAAAAAAGGAAAGGGCTACTATTGCTTTAATAAAGATTTCCTGCCAGTATGTCCTGCTGCAAATTGTAAATGGTGGAAGCACTTCACCTCTAAGCACTGTGAATGGAAATGGAGACCGTTAAGGCAAACTTTAAGATTAAATACTTTCGTTTGTGGTATTTAATTTTCTCTGTATGATGTTTTAAAACAATTAAACATGCATAAGTTATAGTAAATATAAGATCCTTCTTTATCTATGCCTCATTTTGAAGGAAGAAACCTTCCCTTGAGAAGGAAAAGAACGAAGAAAGACAGAGCCTAGGGTACTGTGTATCATGAAATGAAGGGTAGAACAGTTTCTCAGGAGACCAACTGTGGTTCCCTCATTCAAATGACACACGAGAAGACACTGTCATATGTTTAAGTTTGCTTTTATGTAAGGAACTATTTACTGCTATTCTGCTTAAAATGCTGACCCTTAAAATATTTTATAAAGATCTAACATCAATGCAACTTTACCCAGCCAATTATAAAGAAGTAGGCTGATTTTTCTGATATTTTGTACAGACATTTTTAAAAATTTTAATGTAAACTTTGATATTGTAATTATTAATAACACAAAAGGATTAGTTCTCATTTTAAGCAGGGAACTATTTGTGTCCTCTGTACTACGTAAACTCAACATAAGATGCAAGAGAAAACTAACATTATGCTAATAGATAAAACCACACATGATCTGTGGTGGAAGGACTGGAATTGCACTATCACTGAAGTGCAAATGTATATATATATTTAAAATTTTGAAAGCTTACACTCTTCTCAGATTTAGTTTAAAAAAGATTCTAGTTTCATTCTCTCCTTTATTGACTGCTGTTTCTGCTACATGACCAAAAGTAGTTTTCATTGTTCATGTTTGGTTTGTTTTGCTTGTAGGTAAAGCTTATTATAATTAAATACATAGAGCCAAGGAAGGGAAAAATTAACAGTTACATAAGAGAATAAGGAGAAAGTAAGAATGAAGGTCAATATATACTCCAAACATTGATGTTTCTGTCTCCTTCACATACAGATATTGGCCTCGTGTTGTAGCCTTAAACCATCTGATCCAGACAGGTCAAAGCAAGAACTTTTTAAAAAATCTCTCTTCTTTTCAGCAAGTTTTCCCGCTAAGGAAACACATTCTCATCCCTCAAATCACTTGATGTCATACAATAACTTTTAGCTCCTACCCCAAATTGGAAAACAATATTGTGAGGAATAAAATCATTGTAGATTTTGCAGGCAATCCTAAATAATCAGGTGAATTACTTTAGATATAATCATCTCTTAGCTTGGAAATTTGCAGATCGATTTCGTTTATCTATTTGCAGTGCAAACAACTTTAAAATATGCATATTATTTGACATTTTCATATCTTTTGAGTATGAGAGAAAGAAGGTAAAAGAAGAAAGTAGAGAATCTTCTGTCTATATTTAAGTGATATAATTTCAGTTATATTCATGGCATCTCTAGTATTTATCACATAGTTTTCCATGGAAAAATATCATTTTTAAGTCTGGTCTATTGTTTACTTCAAACTGTATAATGTATAGTAAACTATTTATGGATAAGATGAATTACACCGCAGCTTTAATTTTTCAGGTTTACAGCTGTCACTTTTGACACAGAAAATGAAGAGATTTAAAATCCATTTCAGGCATGTAACTATAATTTCATAAAATTTTATGCCCCACAATATATAACATGTGATAAAAGATGTGAAATGCAGAAAATATTCATCATTTACTGCTTCTTCATGACCACAACTTTGGGCCCTTTAAACAGGGATAAATATTGGAGGAACAGTATTCTTTTTCATTGTTGAAAAGCTTCCAAAATAGATTACAGTAAAATTTAAAATAAAACCAGAGAATATGTATTATTGAGACAAAGTCAGGACACCTGAGTTTTGTTCCCAGACTCTGAACCTGTTTGCTGCAATATGCTGGACAAATACTTTAATATCCCAAGGTTTAGCCCCCTCATCTTGATTGCTAAGAAGAAAACGATTATTAATAATGTCAAAGAAGATAATATCTATAAAATAATTCACAGGTCTATAGCAATTATTCAAATAGAAAATATTAATGTCATTATTAATAAACAAATAATCCCATTTCTTTTGATTTACATTTTTCTCTTCAAACATACCCAAGTCAGATAATGACGCTTCTATCTACTAATTTTACTCCATGTTATATTTTTCTGTGTTGCTACTGGAGCTTGAACTTGATGTCATCCTTTCTAATCCTGGCAGCCATCAATTCTCAGTTCCTAATGCTTTCTGGTAGAACTTTTTCCTCATATAAATGCGGTAACACATTTACATATGAAATCCATTTAATGTAATGTATTTTATCTGAAACCATCAGAAAACAAAACTTGTTTTATTTTTAACTGTTTTAAATTTTATAGGAACATAATATTTTGATTTGTGAAACATTAAAAGGCTCCTATAATGAGCCATCTAGCCCAAATAGCAGCAGGTAATTTTATTTGGTGTAATGGAAAGAACCCTGGGCAGAGGATTGGATAACCCAGTTTCTATTCTGATTTCTGTAATTAACTAGCTCTATGATATTGGGGAAATCACTTAGCCTTCCTGATTCTCAATTTCCTCATTTGTGAACTGAAGTAATTGAAACAATGTTCTCTAAGGAACTTCCTAGTTCCAGCGGCCTGATTTTATGCCGACAGAAGCCATGCATGAAGACCATTTGGTTTTCTTTTAAAATCTATACTTTCTTCTTACCAATTTATATTACACTAACATTATTTTTGCAATACCTGATCACAAGTATAATTTGGTTTAGGAGCTACCTATGGCTGGGAGGCAGCTGGCATGGCCAGGGCCGATCCCTTCAGACAAGGAATGTGCAAAGCTCTAGAATGGCCAGCTCAAGAATCGTAGTAGAAATAGTTCTAGTACGAGAAAGACATGGTCTACACTTCAAGCAGGCATTGGAAGAAAAAAAAAAAAAAAAAAAACACGTGTGTGTGAACTTATAAGTACCTGAGCCGACTGCTCAAATATCTTATTATTCTCCTTCTTACGAGAAGGTCAATAAATTTCAAGCTTCATTAGCACCAACGTGTACTCAGAACCAACAAATGTTATGCCGACTACTCAGGGAAGGATTCAAGACATAAAATGGGCGGCAATTTTTATATCTGTAAGCATAGCATGATCACGGAAGCAAAAGTACTCAACATTTTATAAGGCAGTAAATAAAGCCTGTTTTAAACTAAAAATACAGCAGTACTTGTGGGCTGTTTTTTATGCAATCAGCATCAAAACTTGGAATGAAACAAAAATTATGTTGAGCACAAAGTGTTTCCCTCAGAAAAGGATAGGAGAGAGGTTAGCTTGGAGTAGCCAAATAATGGTACCACAAAGTTTCAAGCAGAAGATTTAAATGTGTTCTGTGAATTACAGTGATACCTCCTGTGTGTGCCTATGATTATGAATTGGGAAAGGGGAGTGGGGAGAAACTGAACCCTGGCCCCGCATTTTTCCACAGACATTTAGCATAATGAGGTGGCTGCTAAGCTTTCATTTTCAAAAATCCCCTGTTTTAAAAAATGCTTAGGATGGCTGAGTTGGAGAATACTGGCATGGAGCACAGTAAAACTAATGAATCTATACATTTGTTTAAAATTTAATTAACTTCCATTATTTGAATGGCAGAAAAAGAGGCCTATACCCTGACGCATCAGTAGGAAGTACACACCACGTTTCATTTGCCTTTGCATATCAATTTACATGATGAAAGCTCTGTCCTCTATATTGAGCTCACTACACACTAGATCAACAGCCCAGAATTCCCTCCTTCATAAGTTTGGATTGGCTGACATTTTGTGTCTGGAATTGGTTCCTTCCGGTAGGTTCTTGGTCTCGCTGACTTCAAGCACTAAGCCGTGATGGCGGTGAGTGTTCCAGTTCTTAAACATGGTGTGTCCAGAGTTTGTTCCTTCCCATGTTCAGATGTGTCTGGAGTGTCTTCCTTCTGGTGGGTTCCTGGTCTCACTGACTTCAGGTGTGAAGTGGCAGACCCTCACCGTGAGTGTTACAGCTCATAAAGGTAGTGCAGACCCAAAGAGTGAGCAGCAGCAAGAGCAAAAGAACAAAGCTTCCACAGTGTAGAAGGGGACCCCACTCGGTTGCCGTTGCTGGCTCAGGTGGCCAGCTTTTATTCCCTTATTTGGCCCTGCCCACATCCTGCTGATTGGTCCATTTTACAGAGTGCTGATTGGTCCGCTTTTACAGAGTACTGATTGGTGTGTTTACAAATCTTCAGCTAGACACAGAGTGCTAATTGGTATGTTTACAATCGTTTAGCTGGACAGAGAAGTTCTCCAAGTCTCACCAGACCAGAAGCCCAGCCGGCTTCGCCTCTCAATTTCACTTTGACCTAGTAGAAGAAACAGAGTTGTTTCCAACTGTATAAATGATGAAGCAGTAGCAAAACCTGCTGTACTGACTTTGATGTGGAACAAGGTTTCTCTTCCCAGGTTACCTTTGGGGACGTAATGATGAACTTGTTCCAAATCTGTGAAACTTGAATACAATGAGTATTCAATAAATGCCAGTTGCATGGAAAAGAAAGTAGGAAATTGTGTTTTGGGGGTCACTTAGGCCGAATATTGTTTTTCTTTTTTGTTGTTGTTGTTCTTTAGAGTAACAAAAACAAATTCAGAGTAAGAGATTGATGAGTACATTATATGTGGAAAAGTCAAGAATACTTGTTGGAATTGACATCATGTGGTCAGAACTCCTTTCTTTCTCCTTTTCTTAATTTTCTTACCTCTGTCTCCCTTTGTGTGTAGTCTCTATTTTCTCCATTTTTAGAGGGAACTCTATTACATTGTCCAGTGCACAAGATGAGGTGGGGACCATCTGAGTAATGAAGCAACTACTCTTTTTTCTAAAAAGCTGCCCATGATTATTGGCCAGACCTAAGACTCTTGCTCAGCCTGTGGGTAAGGGACAAAATACAGTAATTACCAATATCACTGTATTCACAGAGAGGATAGGTATCAAAACACTGATAAAACGAAGGGGCAGAAGTGTCAACCAGAAATAGTGGAGAGAGGATACTGGCAGGGAAAAATAAATAAGCAAACAAATTAAAATGTATCAGAGAACTATAGCACATAACCGAGAAATAAAAATTCTCTTTACTCTTAAGGCATGATTTCTTTTTAAGTGAAGTAATGCAAATATTAGATTTCAGTATTTATCTGTACTAGTATTCTATTGCTGCATTTCAAATTTCCATAAACTTAGCAGCTGAAAATAACCCTTATTTATTAACTCACAGTTCTGCAGGCAAAAATTCAGCCCAGTGTGAATGAGTTCTTTGCTCAGGGTCTCACAAGATTGAAACCAAGGTGTCAGCAGGGCTGTGTTCATCTCTTGAGGCTCTTAGGGAAGAAGCAGCTTTGAAGATAATTCATATTGTTGATAGAAGACACTTCCTTGCTCTCTTAAGGTTGAGGTTTCCTTTGTTACTGCCAGCTGTGAGCTGGGGTGTAGGTAGTTCAACTCCTGCAGGTGGCTTCTCTGCATCCACAGCTTTAACACATGTATTTGCTTTCTTCCAAGCTGGCTGGAGCATGTGTTTTGGACTTCCTTTTCTTACACTTGGAAAAAACTTTCTGCTTTACAGGTCTCATGTGATAGGGTTAGGCCCACCCAAATAATCTTATTTGAAGATTAACTGTGTCATATGACATAGCATAAGCATAGTAATAAAATCCATTGTCCTGACAGTCCTGGAGATTATGCAGGATATGGACACTCAGGGGAGAGAAATCTAGGAGTCTGTTGTAGAATACTTCCTACTACTCTGTAGGTTACATTTCAGTCATAATTGAAAATTCAGGTTTGATTTTGATTTAGTTCAGTATTGATAAGCTAAAGTGATATGGTTTGGCTCTATGTCCACCCTCCACCCCCCGCCAATCTCATCTCGAATTGTAATATCCACATGTTGGAGGAGGGGCCTAGTGGGAGGTGATTAGATCATGAGGGCAGATGTCCCCCTCATCGTTCTGATAGTGAGTGAGTTCTCATAAGATCTGATGGTATTAAATTGTGGCACTTCACCCCTGGCTATCTCTCTCTCTCTCTCCTGCCGCCATGTAAGATGTGCCTCGCCTTCTGCCAAGGTTGTAAGTTTTCTGAGGCCTCCCCAGCTGTGCAGAATTGTGAATCAATTAAACTTCTTTTCTTTATAAATTACCCAGTCTCAGGTAATTCTTTACAGCAGAGTGAAAATGGACTAATACATCAAGTTTTATGATGTAAAATAATACACTGAAGTATGTTTGGACCCTGGTTAGTCTTGGAAATTCCATCTATAAGTTCTGTCTGTAACTTACCTTAATAAGAAACCAACGATACATGGAGAAGGAAAAATTGTAAAAACCAGTGGATGATCAGTAAGAAAACTAATTTTTTTTTTTTAATCTCGGAAATAATGCAACTCTATGGTCAATAACATTCATGTGTCAGTTTTAAGAAAATGTTCTACGAACACGTACGCACACACATAATTCCATGGACTCCAAGAATCATTAGGAGAACCTTAATAATAATAATAATAAATTAGTAGCTTCTGAAAAGCAACCAAACTTTAAAAGAAATATTCAACATTTAAGGCTTCAATCAATCTCTACTTAAGCACCTGCTTTCATAATCCTGAAACTCATTTAAAAAAAAAAAAAAAAAAAAACTTTCTGACCTTTAAAAATGCAACAGCCTGAAATCAATTTATTTCAGTCAGGCATTCAATAGTATATACTTGCTAAAACAGTCAAAGTTCAAGTTATAGCATCTGTGACATCTATTTTTTTCGTTTTTGCATTTTTGCCTTCTTATTTTATTTTTTTCTTTTAAGTTAAAGTCAAAATGGAACTATTATCTCTTTGGCAGTTTCTTGGGAATCCTATTAACCTATTGGGAAATAAGTAAACTCTGAGAATGATTCCTTTCTTAATATGTTTATAATGAGAGCTTTAAAAAAATGATCTCTCACTAACCTGTATTTAGAAACAAGATGTAACTTACTGCATTTCTTACACAGGATAGTTAATATTTATCTTTGGGATTAAGATTACTCATTTTCACACTATGGGGCAGAAAATAAATATTATGTATAAATTATTATGCAAGTAAGATAATATTTATGATACTATTACAAGATATAAGACCATGAAATATTAATTCTTAGCAGTAAATTTGACAAAAAAACTTGACTCATAATGCAAAGAAAACAAGCTAAGTTCTTGTATTTATTTTTTCTGCATTTGTGATATTACACATTCAAATCCATTTGAAGTAGTTACTATAGAATGAGGAAAGGAAATAGAAGACTTCGGTAAGGCGGCTTCATGCTTTAACACACTAAGCAATCCCCACAGTGATGGATGCTACAAAAAATAGGTCACCTTCAAACCACCCTTGAAAATAAGCAGACACTGTAATTTCAGATTGTGTTCTTATGAGCATTGTTAAGAGCATTGAGATATATATACATATATATAAATGTTATATATTTAACAAATTATATATATATTTGTTATATATATAACAAATATATATATAACCTATATATACATATATAACAAGTATATATATATATAAATAAATATATATATTTGGCCTTGTATTTATTTTGCAAAAATTGTGCTTGTCTGAGCACAAGAAAATACCATTTTTTCATTTTTTTCTCTCACATAAAACACATATAAACGTCTTCATACACATGCACAAATCTGTGTAGTTATTAGTTCATTGTGAGAAAGAATGTAGATATTTTAATGACCATTTCTGTTATTAAATGGAGTTACTCTATTACCTTTTTAATATGATGGATTTTATGTCTTTCAAAGCAAATTATGGCACAATGTGCACAACCATAGAAAAATATTTTATTCAAAAAACTGACTCCCTGGGAGCGATTACTAAATTGTGTTTTCTAGTACCTAGTACAATTACTAATGGGCAGTCGAAAGTATTTTTCAATGATACTATTGTTATTAATGCATTCAGGGTAATACAAATCTGGCTTTGCTCAAATTGATGTCACAAAACGAAAACTTGGGTAGTTTATATCTATTGCTAATTCAATTCTCTGAACATAGATTCAGCTTTTTTGGTTTTTTTCTCTCAAGATATTTCAAAAGTTTTTTTTCCTGTTAATGGCATTGTATTATCAAATTAAAAGTGAGATGATTCAGTTTAAATGCTAGTCCCAAAGACACGTGGGGTTAGACAACCTGGTTTAATCTCTGCTCTGAATATTTTTACTTGTGTGTCTTGAGCCAAGTTAGCCTGCCTGTCCCTCAATTTCTGTATCTACAACATGAGAATGCTAATAGAAGGATTGTAATCATAGTGTTTTTCTGAGTATTAAAGTGGGTTTAGACACATAAAGCCATTAGAAAGTTGCCTGGCAAAATATAGAAGCTTGATAGCTTTTTCTACCATCTTATTGAATCCAATCAGTTTTCTCATGCACATTTATATAAGTTAATATAAATAGAAAGGAATATTGCTATACTGGGCTTATTTGGATATGAAGGGAGAGAAATGAAGGAAAACAAACTGTGAAGCCAAATTCTCTACAGTATTCTCCAAATTTATGATATAAATATTATAGTCTACATTTTACATATGAAGACTCTGAGGTATGAAGAAATTCAGTAATTTACACAATAACACAAATGTAATAAGTGATCAGTTTCGGATTCTAACCCACAAATATCTGATGTTCAGGATCATGGATTTTAACTCTTTTTATGTTGTATACACCCTATATGCCAAACAAAAATTCAAACGACAACAACAACAAAATTTAAAGATGGGCTTGCTATATGTGCATGCATTCGTTCCTTTATAAATTCATTAGTTCATCAAACCATTGCTGAGCATGGACCATGTGATCTGTGTTTGATCTGGTGAAAACACAGAAATCACTAAATATGGTATGATTGTGTCTAATTTCATATCCCTGTGAAAAGAAAACTTCGACCTCTAAAATTAGACCAACTCTGATAAAAATCCACAGCAAATGACAGAAAGAAGGATACAAATTAAATATGAGGTGATGGAAAAGTGTACAACAGCCAGAGAAAGAATAAGATTACACAAAGGGATTTGATATAAGTGTATCATATTGCTCCATTCTCAAATATTGTGAATTGAACACATCTCTCAACTAATTTAACATCCATTTAAGGGTAAGAGAAAGCCACTGATAGAATTAGTATTATCTAAAACAAATTTCAGTGGAAAAAAAGGATTTTATATTATCTCCACTTTGTAGGGTCATTTCATTCTGGTGCAGGTTTTGCAAAAACAAACCATTGATTTGGAAATCATAAATATATTCTAAATTTTAATATAGTTACTTATGTTAAACATAATGTGTTAAAGTTTTAGCATATTCTTTTTGACTAATCATTAGTTACTTATGTTAAACATAATATGTTACATTTTTAACATATTCTTTTGACTAATTAATCATTTCCTTTTTAAACTTGGAGAGGCAATGGGGGGTACAGAGTGAGACAGGAAGGCAGCCTCTGTAACAACCTGAGGACTCATGGTTGGGGAAAGATGTCATCTACTTTTAGTCAAGAGATAAATGTTTTACCTGCTAATAGGGAAACACACCCAAAAGCACAGAGAAAAGTCTGGTCAAAACACTGCATTGCATCTAATAAAAACTAATTAACTGGTTTAAAAGCAAAAGATCCCTTGGTACTGCAAAACTCAATCGCTTTCACAATAAATAGATAAACTGCTTTGTGGGAAGAATTTACTAATACATGGAAGAACTTCCATTAGAAACTACATGTTTATTTGATTTCTTAAAACGTATTTAGGCATAATGTGTGTTCTAATTATTTTCATTTCTTGAAGAATATGTATTCTTATACAATTCTTATTGTTGACAATTTTGTGGCTACACTTTTGTCTTTTCTTCTTTCCTTCCTTTCTCTCTATTATGCCTTCTTTTTCCCCTTTTTTCTTCGTCAAAATTCTTAAGCCTTCTAAAGTCAATCCTGTCACAATGAAAATACATTAAAATGGCTATAACGTCCGATCCATGAACTTCAGTGAACTCTAAAGACTCCTCAAATATACGCAGATGTATAGGATTCTTACGTTTCTCCTAATTTCTACTAGAGAATCTGTCTCTTATCTCTTCTTCCCCAGCTGTTCCTTCTATTCACCCCATATTAACCCAAGCATGAAGCACAGCCCTAATATTTGTTAAAAAATCCAAAAGCTTGTGAAGTTTTAATGAAACCCTAGAACTTGGAAAGTATTATATCAAACTACAGAAAGTTGAAAATTTAATGTTTGTCTCCCTCTTCTTAAAGGTCCTCTACTCAACCTTTAGACTGACAAACTCCTCACGGCTTGCCTCAATGTCTTAAATGCTTTTCCCACCGCTTTTTTTGTTCTACTTCCGATTTTCTGTTTTTAGCAAACCTTGATGTTTCTGGGAATGCCCATGGATAGCCTAGATTTCTTCTTATACCCTGAAAATTAGGAAATCAAGCAACTTTTCCTTATTTCTAATCTACTGTAGGCATTTTTTTTTTTTGAGATGGAGTCTCGCTCTGTCGCCCAGGCTGGAGTACAGTGCAGTGATCTCGGCTCAATGCAAGCTCCACCTCCCAGGTTCACGCCATTCTCCTGCCTCAGCCTCCCAAGTAGCTGGGACTACAGGCGTCCGCCACCACACCTAATTTTTGTATTTTTAGTAGAGACGGGTTTTCACTATGTTGGCCGGGTTGGTCTCCAACTCCTGACCTCCAGTGATCCGCCCACCTCAGCCTCCCAAAGTGCTCAGATTACAGACATAAGCCGCAGCGCCAGGCAGGCATTTTTCTGATATTGCAGAGCTATTGTCATATCCTGTAACCAAAGTAACCTGTTGTAGTGTTATATGGGGGGAGGAGGGGAGTAGTTTTCACGACTACGTTTGGAAACATTCTAGTCTCTGCTATTTATTTACCTTTCCAGTTACTAATACAATAGGTGATACAGGTGAGGCAGATATCAATTTTGGATCTATTCCCCTGTATGGTGTATTTTTTTTCTAGCTGTCCTTAGATTATTATTTACATAAGTTTGTCGCAAAGGGCTTTGTGAAGGAGATTTTTTTTTCCCTTTCTGATGATTACAAGATCAACTGGGAGAAAAGATGGTAAATAAAACCAATGCACTGAATATTGATCTCTGAAGTAACATGAAAAAGTGATACTGATTCACAAAGAGTTCAGAAACTGCAGATGCTTTTCCCTAGTATGTGTAAACATTTGAGATAAAGTGGCGCTCATCAATATACTTAGATGCAAAAATGTTTGACTTATTAAAAGAGTCCCATTAAGAACAATCAAGGAGTTTAATCATAGCAACCAAATTTGCACTTCCCTCAGTATCAGTCAGAAATAAATACAGGAAATTTAAGACTCAACTTTTCTGTTCTGATCAAGAGATCCTATTTATGAAGGGAAGATTATGAAAAGTCTCAGTGATGGACAGAAAGCCAAATAGTTGCGATTGTTGATATCTTTGTCTTCTTCAGATGATGCCTTTAGATCCAGCATTATCCCTCTTGTTCTCTCTTGAGAAAGAAGCTGTTTCTGAGACATACAGCTAACAGTAGAGACCGTGGAACAAAATGCTTGATTCGTAGGTCATTTTGTCTATACTGCAATTAAGAAATGTGAATATATCAAATATTTTTTAAAGTTTTACTCCCAATGTATTACATTTTACTAATAAATCATGTATACTTCGCATGTGTTAAAAATGTAGAATTTTTAGCTAGATTTAGCTTTTTTTGAAATCGTACTTATATTTATCTTATCGTAATTGATTTGATTTTATGTAGCCAGACATTTTATACCATTAAATAAAAGGGTATTTAAAATTAAAAAAAAATTAAAAAATAAAGGAGAAAATAAAACATAAATAGAAGTGACTATGATAATAAAGACTAACAGAAAGAAATTAGGTTAGATGGAGTTTACATTCGAGTTCAGATTTGGGTTAAGCTGCTTTATTGGGATTATTAAGTGCATATGCAAATAAATTAGTGTAGGACATATAGTTTTTAAAATTTTATTTTGCACTTGGGACTATTTGAATTCAGTTAAAAAGATTTTATTACTAGATTTTTCATGATAGCATATCAGTGGTTAGTCAAAATTAAATAAAACCTATAAGGCATTTAACATAGTATATAATATTCGATAAGAGCTAATAATGGAAATAATGAAGAAATGCTAACAATAAATTAAGAAATGATATCTAACTATAGTAATGTATTGTTATTAATAACTGATTATTATTGGCATTTATTTTTAAATCTAGACTAAATCACATACATTTATGTAGTATTCTGAAAAATAACTACATTGTTTGAAATGATACATCAAATTTACTGTTATTCAAAATAGAGATTCCATTACTGAAAATTTGATATGAATGGTTTATTGTCTGGAAATTTTTTCCCTAAAACCGAGCTTGTGAAATATGTTTTACAATGTTGGAAAAGTAAGAAAGAAGTTATTTTAACCTTCTCTCATATTTTTCTTCCCAAATCCTGGGTCCAAGCCAGTGACCTCTCCAACTTTTATAGAAGTTCTTATTCACATATTGTGACACTTTGAAATGAGAGATTATAATTGGAGTGAGCTAAAGTTGTAAAATATGACAATCTGAGAAAATAGGATGGCTTTTATATGTAGCCATGAAGGCAATATTCGAGCAAAGTAAGAAAGATAAAAGACAGCATTGGGGGAATAGCATATTTTTTTTTCTATAACAGGATGTATAATATATCCTAGCACATAAGCTTTTTTGCTCTTGAGCATTGCAAATATTCTTTTTTCTTCTGTGAGCTTCTTTGGCATACACTGGGGATGCTTGGGGGCCTTTTTGAGATGGATTTCTGCTCTCTTCAATATAAGGTGAAATATTTCCAGATGATAAATAGCTCTGGGTCTGTTACTCAGGCAGGGGAGTTCTCAAAGCACATTGGGCTGTTAGAGGGAATTCCTAACCTTGTAAAGTGGTATCCCTCTTGCTCATATAGCAACAATTAAACTAGGGAGAACAAATGAGTCACCTCAGGAGAGTAGACTAGCATAGAATGTTAAATATTCTTGGGCATTCGGTGACTTTGAAAAGAGAACAATTTGCATAACATTACTCAGGCAGAGTTATAGATCATCTTTGGGTCTGATCTTCTTTCATCTATAAATACCTTAAGTATAATCTAATGGCTTTGTAGTTAATATAATGGCCACTATGATGTTCTTGAGCTCAGAATAAGTATTAGCATGAAACTAGGCAACTTCAAAAAAGGAAACACTAAGTGTTTTATAAGTTTACCAGGAAGAATCTAGCAAAAGTAGTTTGTGTTGTACATAATAAAATTATTTCAGACAAAGAAACTCACGCAAAATTTTCTTATACTCATATTGGCTGGTTTAAGTGAGTAAATCCTGTGTGTAAGTAAACAAATCAGTGACAATATTACTTTAAATCTCAATCACTAACTACTAAACCATTCTACATCACTTATAATCATAGATTTCAAGAATGGTAATGGGTCTTACCACTTATACGTGATTATTACAACAAAATGTACTGAGAGTATCCTGTATAAGAAACATATCCCTTACATCTGAATGTGTGTATAGATCTATCAGAAGATTCTGTAACTGCTTTTATAAAGATGTCCATATTAAGTAGGACAGACCTTTATGTGATTGCTTTTGTCCATATATGTTTTGAGACTGAAGAAGAGCGATAGTAAAACAGATAGAGCAATAAAGATTTAGACCACATGTCTGGAAGTTTCTCATTCCAGCAGAAAAATTCAAAATGGGGACCTAGTTCCATGACAAAAGA
This sequence comes from Homo sapiens, assembly GCF_000001405.40. NCBI lineage: Eukaryota > Metazoa > Chordata > Mammalia > Primates > Hominidae > Homo > Homo sapiens. Next base: position 905,610 of record NW_025791777.1, read on the forward strand.
TAATGACAAATAAATTGTTAATATTTAAATATGTGATCCGTCTATATTAAGGAAAGTAAAGACACTAATCCAAATGCAATGCTTGAAACTTATGGGGCTTCGTGTTCAGAAAACAAAGAAAGAAAATGCTACAAAGATATTTGGAGAGAGAAGTGGGGGTATTGAATATGACCCATTATTAAGTGATAACAGGCATTTTAATTAATTTTCTTAACTGAAACTGTGACAATGTGGTTATGCAGGAAAAGGTCTTATTTTCAGAAAACTGGTGCTGAAATATTGTGTAGTGAGTTGGTATGATGTTTGTAAATTATTTTCAAATCATCCATATATGAAAGTAAAGCAAATACAACAAAATGTTGAGAATGGTTTAATCTAGATTGTGAGAATATAGATTTTCATCATATAATTACTTCTATTTTTTCTGTTGATTTCAAGTTTTACTTAATATGATTTTGGTACAGGGAAATGGTGTACCTCCCAAACACCTTTAACTCCTCTTCAGAGAGCATCAGTAATTTATAGCAGAGGAACAAAAATAACAACCCGTAATTCTGATGGGAGGGAGTGGCGTAGAGGTCATCAGAGAAGATGGCCAATTTCTGTAACATTGCACATAGGTGAAGGATTGGTGACTGTTTAAACAAGCCCAAAGGAGCTATATGCGAGTGTTTACACTGAGAGGGCTCCAGCAATGAAGGCACAGCTCTGAAAGAGACCCAGATTTGGCAGTGATTCCAAAGAAAAGGCATAAAATTTGCCAGGAAAAACACAGAGATGAACTAATATTCTATATACAGAATTTCTCCTATATGCTTGAGAATGCATAAAATATAGGCATTAATGACCAGAATGTAAACAATAAAGAAATAATTTTTAAAAGACGTTATTCTGTAGGTAACCTGCAAAGAATTAGGACAGTGTTGGGACACCATTGTGCTTAGAACACCCCCAACCGAATATCTGAAAGTAGAAGAAATGATTGATTCTTTTATTCATTCTAGGCCAAAACTCTGATCAATAAATACAACTCAAAAACTCAAAACTTCAAATTAGGTTATTTATTCTTAAATATGAACAGGAAACTCAGAGTTATCTGGTATTCAAGGAAAGCCCGCCTTATGAATGGCAAAGACTCAAATTCAAAACACAAAAGTAATTCTGAAGGAAGAGATAATTTAAAGAAACCACACAAACACAGACTAATGAGAGTTTTCAAAAAGTTTCAAGAAATCCCACAGTTCACAAAATAAGAATATGATTATTTTTAAAATAACACTTAAAGAAATCCTGAAAATGAATATATCTGTGGTATATGTGTGTGGGTATGCACAATTTGTGTGTATTAAATTTGAAAATGAAGAGCATTACCAATAAATAAAGTAATATACATTTATTGCTTTCACACAATAGTCCAAAAGATATGACAATAAATAATATGAGTGAAATATATATGATACATTGAAGATGTGTAAGGTCTAACATTAAACAATTGAATTCTAGGTTAAGAACACGAAAAACCAAGGACAGGAAATAATCGTGGAAATAATCTTTGATAAAAATTTCTGAGTGCTGAAGGAAAATAGTTTTCGAATTGAGAAAATTTTCTAAGTGTCCAACCTCAAATAGGAAACATAAACACACATAAACTCGCACCTGGAGGCAATGTTCAAAACACAAACCCAAATAAACACATACTCGGAGACAGTGTTCTAAATAATTAGACTACATTCATAAAAATAAGATTATAAACACTAGAGAAAGAGAAGATGAAAATAAAAAGGGAAAAAAGAGGCTCTTTACCAACAAAGAAAATATAATCAGACGGATACCAAGTCCACTCTTGGTTTCTAGAAGATAATGAATACAATTTCAGATGCAAATGTATAAATTCCTTAAAATGTATGAAAAGAAATGATTTCTAATCTGGAAATATATGCCCAGATGAAAATTAATTATATATGAGGGTAAAATAAAGGCATACCGTGATATGAAAAGACTCAAGTAAAATGTCTAACATACACTCATTATTAAGAAATCATATAAAATTAGTGCAAGCCAACAAAATAGTAAACTAAAGTAAATATAACATCCAAGAAAAAGTGTTTCCAAACCAGGAGATTAATAAAGTAAATTCCAGGTTGACAATTGTGCAGATGTTCTTGTTTGGATTAGCAAGAAAGAAACCTCCCAAAGAGAGGCATGTAGTGAAAAGATTTGATGTCTGACCTCAGAAGTGGGATGAATCTAAGGATTTATTTATTCATAAATAAAACCACTAACAGACAAAGATGTTACGGAAAAAAAATCTATATGCAAAATAAAACTGCAGCAATTACATAGGAAATACAAATTATTTGGTAATAAAACAAAAAGGCTTACATTGTTCTAATTAGTGTAAAAAGAGTATTAGTTGTTCTCTTTTTTTAATGTTTTAGCATCAACTGATAGACAAAACTTAGAAACTTATTTATCAGTAGGTGTTCTCAGAGAAAAAGAACAAATTGGATGTTGATATAGCTATAGATGTAGATGTAGATATAGTTATAGATATAGAGATATTTAGAGAGATCTCTCTATATATAGATGTATCCATATATAGAGGATATATATGGATCTCTATATATCTATATATGGATATAGACATATCTCTCTATATAGGTATAGATATCTATATAGATATATAGATATATCTCTCTATATAGGTATATATATATATATCAATATATATCTCTATATATCGATATATAAAGATTTGTTATAAGGAATTGGCTCACACAATTATAAAGGCTGACTAGTCCAAAGGTATGCAGTTGGCAAACTGTAGACCCAGGATAGCTTCTAGTTCTAGTCTAAAGACGGGCAGGCTCAAGACCCAGGAAAAGCCAATGTTTTAATTGAAGTCAAAAGGCAGAAAAAAAATTCCAGTGTCTCAGCTTGAAGGCAGTCAGGCAGGAAGAGATCTCTGTCACTCACGGAGGGGTTTGCCCTTTTGATCTATTCATTCCCACAGCTATTGAATGAGGCCCATCCACATTAGGGAAGGCAATCTATTTTATTCAGTCTACTGATTTAAATACTAATCTCATTCAGAAACACCCACAGAGGCACACCCAGGATAATGCTTGACAAAATCTCTGGGCAACTTATGGCTCAGTCAAATTGACATATAAAATTAACTATCAGGCTTATTTTTAAAAAGAGGCCTGGCCACACAGGGTGTCTCACACCTGTAATCCCAGCACATTCAGAGGCATAGGCAGGTAGATTGCTTGAGCCCAGAAGTTTGAGACCAGCCTGGGTAATATGATGAAACCCCATCTCTACAAATAAAAAAATAGAAAAATTAGCTAAGCATGGTAGTCTGTGCCTGTAATCCCTGCTATTCAGGAGGATTACTTGAGCCCAGGAGGCAGAGGCTGCAGTGAGCTGAGATTGTGCCACTGCACTGTAGCTTGGGCCACAGAACAAGACCCTTTAAAAAAACAAAAAAAACCTAAGGCCTACTTCAGAATTTTTTAGGACAGATTCTGTATAATACAGATGATGGAAGCTGGTGGCGGACGGGGAGAAGAAATGGAAGGAGATGTAAGGGGAAGTGTAAAGGTGTTAATGCTATGATCCTATGAAATAGAGAAACCACAGATACATTCCAATGTCAAAAAAACAACTGTAAACATTGTATTGAAGGGTGTTAGGGTGATGGTTATTTGTATCTACAACCTACTTTTAAATGCATCAAAAATTAAGCTGGGTTAACAGATAGACAAATGGGTAGAAAATAATAAAACAATTATAAACAGTATGTAAAAAATATATAGACTAGGAGGTAAGTATACAGATGAATACTATATACTTTTATCATGAATTTGAAAATTTCATAATAAAATGTTGGAGGCAAGAAGAAAAAAAAGGATACATTCTATGAGTGAACTGAAATTTAGAAACTCAGATATCACTTAGTGTTTTATTGACAACACAGAGAATAAACGATGGTACAGTTTTACTTGGACAAGGCAAGGGGTATGCAGTTTGGAAGTCAACAAATATTATTCAAATTTATAATTAAAGAACTACTATAACATTTAATCATTTAGCCAATTTTATATATGTATTTTTATAAGAACTGAAACAGAAAGAATGAAAATAGAAACAATTAAAAATGTCCCCAGCTGGCTAGGAAAAGAAAGAGTATGGTTTGGGATTATAAACTCTTCGATTCCCTATGATATTTAGCAATTTAATTGTATTACTTTGATTAAAATGTTTTTGATCAGTTTAAACTGATGTAATGAATTCATATTTATTGATACAGAAAAATATGATATAATCCATCTAAAAAGCAAGTTACAAAACAGTGTACAGTGTACCATAGTACCTATGAACACAATTAGTGAAGTAATTTGCAGAGCTATAATACCAAATCAGAAATTATTTTGGTAATGAATTTATGATTTTCCTCGTTTTCTGATTTTTTCCATGATCTCATATACTTTATTCTCAGAAAACAAAAGACAAAACCCCACACATACACAAAAATAAACGAGTAACTTCTTTACAACCCCAGAGGCTAAGTCAGTGGGAAAAGAGGGAAATGAATGGTTATGAGCATAAACACAGGGACAAATAAAAGAAGTTTGGAGCACAGAGAACAATTCACAAATCAGAAGTCATTTTAAAGGACACAGAAATCATGGTTTTAAATATCATTCCATAAGCAAAGAGAATATTAAAATCATTTTTTGGAAAATTCCTTGAAAAATGTTTTGTAATAACTTTTTTATTTTTTACCCTTCTCATCACAACCATCCTCATTACCTCATAAGAGCCATATGTGGTAACTGTCCAGGGTTGTTCATCTCTGCCTCTCGCCAGGAAATACACTGAATTGCAAGAATTAGGTACTACAAAAAGATGCATATTTTATATTAAGCAGTTACATTTAGAAGTAAACTGGTAACTTGATGGCATTTCTATAGCATATATATATATATATATATATATATATATATATATATATGCCATACATATATGTATGTTTTTTTTTTTTTTTTTTACTCATGTATAAAACACATATATCCACATATGGGTTAGTAGTAGTATTTGTTGAACACAATTTTTGGTTTTCACACAAATGCACCTTTTCAAAAATCAATTGTTCCTTCTCCCAACATACCCCAGGCTGGCAAATGACAAATGAAAATAAAATCCCTGCTGGAAATAGTGGTATAAAAAGCATTTTCCATTTTATGTGCACTTTTCAACCCAGAGAAAATAAGAAATTTGTTTTATTTTTGTGCAGTAGTTTCTAAAATATAATCGGAGAGATGCTAGTAAACATTTAACTTTAGATTAGCTTTCTCAAAACTTTTAAGCGCTGGAATGAAAGATTTGCTTACATTCTGAAGCTGGTGCAGGGTATCTTTTTTAAGCCTTCTTTGGCATCTCATTTTCACGCACCATCTGAGATGACTTGGAAAACACCAGAAAATAACAACACTACTTCCACAAAACAACTGCCTGGACAGTGCCTATTTCTACAGCCATCATTTATAGAACTCTTTTTCTGGGGAGAAGTTTTATTTTAAGTGTCAATACTAAAAGATGGTATATTTGGAGTTGGCTGCTTCAATCAGTAAATGTAGTCAGCACCGACTCAGAAACAGCTTATTTTTAATAATTGGAAGAAGAAATATTTCTAGCTGTTAGTTTTAAATGGCTACAAAGGAAAGAAATTATTTTTTTGGAATTATTAGCTTGCCGTATGTGTAGATTAAAAAGGCTGTGTAAAAATGGCATCTTGTGATTTTTTTTTACAGTGAACATGACCCAAAACTATGGAAAAGACTATGAGTTCTTTTTATCTTTAGCCCTCCTTCCTTCTTTGTGCAAATGAGACTAAGAACTTCCTTCACATTGTAAGCAAAGCCTGAATCCCATTGCTGACGTATTTGAGAAAGCAGTTTCATCGATAGAGATCAATTTCTGGAATCACTAAAAATTCAACATTTTCTAAGATTCATAAAAATTATTATAGCTTTAGTCTTGACAGTTGCCTTTTTATTTTAAGGAAATTAACCCCAGAAAACACATAAACACGTGCATATACATACATACACACACGCACATTCACCACACAGTTTATGAAGGAATACAGAGTGCCCACTGGATCATTCAACTTCACTGAATGAATATGCAGAAATTTTAAAAAAGTAATTTTGAAAAATTTCAAATGATACTGAAAAATTTGGTATTTTGTTTTAAAAATCTTGACTCATTTATTTATAAAGTGTGTATATAGATAGATACAAGCAGAGAAATATATATCAATATAAATGTGCAGTAAATATGTATTTATATATATTTACCCTTTCAGTTATATATTTACATAACCGAAACATATAAAATTAACAAAGAAGGCAGGGCGCAGTGGCTCATGCCGATAATCCCAGCCCTTTGGGAGGCTGAGGCGGGCGGATTATTTGAGGTAAGGGGTTTGAGACCAGCCTGACCAACATGGTGAAACCCTGTCTCTATCAAAACTACAAAAATTAGCCTGGCATGGTGGCATGCGCCTTGTAGTTCCAGCTGCTCTGGAGGCTGAGGCAGGAGAATTGCTTGAACCCGAGAGGTGGAGGTTGCAGTGAGCCGAGATCACGCCACTGCACTCCAGCCTAGGCAACGAGAGCGATACTCCGACTCAAAAAAAGAGAAGTTATCTCTAGGTAAGATCATGATGGAAATTTTCATCTTACTTTATACCTTTCACTGTTGAAATTATTTTACAGTTGAAGTAAAGGAAATTTTACAATATCCAACAAGAGCCGATGTCATTTATTTAATATCAAAATTAATATTGGAAAAATGTCTATACTTTAGGCTACCACCCATCTGCCTGAATTAATCAGCATTAATACTTAATTTTAAATATTACCTGTCAACGCAGGTCACTGAATGTGATCTCCTTTAAGGTATTATCATGTAATAAACTGCTACAAAAAGTCTAATTCTCTCAAGAGTTTTATAGTCATCCACTTCATTTTCAGGTCAACATTTTAACATATTTTCCCATATTTTTTTCTGAAGCTTTAATCTCTGCAAAGCCCATCTTTAAATTTGAAGGAAAAGGTAGAAGAGTGAGGAGCAGCAGTAATTAACTTGAATTTGGAACTTGGATATAACTAAAGACACATTTTGCTTCTTCATTTTTATGTCAGTTTGCAAAGGAAACAGTTATGATTTTAGCTAAATACAGAAATTTTTTTCTTTTTTCTTTTTAAAATTCTACTTGTATCACATTTCAAAACCTACTCTGAATTTTCACTCAGTTCCCACAATATTACCATAATTCTTTGAGCTGTTGGCAAAATGGATCCATTTTATAAAGTCATGCCTTTTGCATTGAGCTTTTGCCTGTCTCATATATTTAGATAAATTTGAAAGCAAAAGGAATATCCACTGTGTTGAATATCTTTAATAGCATGGTTGAAATTTATAATTTGAAATTCGTAAGTTCAAAGAACATTTATCTACTGCTTGATTTTATGCTTGAAACTTCCTATGCTTCACAGCAGTTTTTTTTTAATAGGTGGACAAAAATCCTTCCTCCTATCATTCATAACAATTTTCTTTATACTTAAGTAAAATATACAGAAACTTTTAAAGGAACGCCAAAATCTTGTTCCCTCTTATTGTTGCCACATTATTTTTATTATATTACCCAACCAGGTTTTTATGGTTATGCTTATACTCTCATACAAAACAGTTTTAGAACAAATATTGAAGGAAATGCAGGGTCACAAAATGAATAAGTTTACCTTAATAACATTAATATGAACAATGATATTATTTTATTGAACTTAAAGCACGCTCTTGAGCTTAAGAGCAAAGATGTAGCCACAGTTGAACTTGTATTTATTTGGGCTATAATTACTCATACTAATACACAGGAAGCTTATTTGCAACAGGATATTTATATAATTTAAAATATTTTCAGAGTTTTTGTGTGTGTTGAAATGTTAGGAAAACAGAACTCATTCTTAAGCAATGATTTGCAAAGAGCAGTGCTCATATGCAGATTTTTAAGGCGTAGCCCAAATGGTTAGAAATGCTGCAAAAGTTTAATTTTCTTTTGGGTGATCTGTTGTCTGGAAAAAGCTGTTACATGTAAAAATTTGGATGCTGAAATCAAATGGCTATACCCAAATGAGCAAGAATAGTTTAAAACATTTAAATCAGCATCTGCATAAAAATTAATATAAATATTATTTATGACTGTTATGTATATATAATTATATTATGCATAAGAATATATTTATACAAATATATACTACTAGAAAATTGTATATGATGTACTATTTTATTTTATGTAATATTTTATGTATATATTTATTTACACATAATTTATATACTTTTAAGACTGTGTCCATTTTTCATTTATTCTTGGTCTCCGGTTTGAACAACGCTGCTTTATGGCATTACACTGATAATTCTCTCTACTCTTTAGTTCTCTTCCTTATCGCTTATTCATGTGTATCTTATTCCATGCTATAATGTAATGTACCATACATGTGTTGAATTTTAAAACAAAATTAGCAGAATTTCAATGCTTTCCTATATTACTCAACATAAATATTCTCTATATAGAATGAATTGGAACAAGCTATTTGTGAATCTGAAAGGATAATCAGTGATTCTACCAATCATAGTGGTAAACTCATTCAAACTCAGCCTGTTAAAATGAGACGCTCTGCCCTATATCACTGAAAACCTCTTGATTTGCCAGATTTTTCCCTTCTTTACAAATGAAAATGCTTAGTGTTTTCTGAGTTCCTTTGCACTATCTCCCACTGGATTCAGGTCATTGATTTCATCTTCAGAACACTTGGAAAGTTTATTTTGTGGTGTTTATGAGCTAATTTATTTTTATTGCAATGTTTATTTAAAATGAAACAATAAGTACACTGAAGTTTTGTGCATTTCATTTTATGAAAATGTTATCCCAAAGGGATACAGAAGAACTAAATACAAATTTTCAAAATTTATTGTTTTTTTTTTTTGCCTGCTGCTATATCTGAGGTTGTACTTTTGTTCTGATCTTTGTAACACCTCAAAAAAAAAATGGGTTAAGAGAAGGATGAACAGAAGAATGGATATGAGACCTATCTGATAAGGCAAGCAGATTAATAGACGAATGGAGGAATGTTTGGATGTATATGTATATGTGTTCATTGCAGTTTTCAACTTTTTGTGTTGAAATTTTTATAAAAAGAAGTTGGAGAAATAAAAAACAAGAAAACAGAACCATAAGATTTTTATTTAACATTTTTGATTAAAGGAATTGTATTGCAAATTATGACTTTTTAATTTGGCAACTTCCTTTTAATGGTGTTCTTTCTTTGTCCTTCTCTTTCTCTTCCTCTCTCTCTCCCTCTCTTCCCTAAAGCTCCATTCCGACTTAGACAAGGGAGAGGGCACTGCGAAATACACCCTCTCAGGAGATGGCGCTGGCACCGTTTTTACCATTGATGAAACCACAGGGGACATTCATGCAATAAGGAGCCTAGATAGAGAAGAAAAACCTTTCTACACTCTTCGTGCTCAGGCTGTGGACATAGAAACCAGAAAGCCCCTGGAGCCTGAATCAGAATTCATCATCAAAGTGCAGGATATTAATGATAATGAGCCAAAGTTTTGGGATGGACCTTATGTTGCTACTGTCCCAGAAATGTCTCCTGTGGGTGAGTAGGCAAATCAAAATTCTGTGAGATACAATGAGACCTCTTCAACATTGACTTTTTGCAGGTTGATGTAAACATCTTATCTATCATCTAAAAGAATTATTTTTCAATTCTAGAAAATACAGTTCTTTTCATTTATTTTTGTAACTTTTTTGTTTTTCTTTCTGCTTCATTATGAAGATAACTACAGGAATATATAACATTAGTTCCTGTTTTCCACCCTGTGAATTTACCTGAATTCATAGAATCCTTGCGTGCTTTAAGCAAAAAATGTATTTTGTATTGAAATTGATTCTTATCTCAATTCCAGACACCTATACAGTGCTGGAGACACCTACCCTACACCACGAAATGCCAGACAGTAATTCCTAGATCAAAGTAAATGATCTAAAGCATGCATCACATCTGATCTGGAAGTGGTCCAGAAACAGGTGTGTTGCATCTTCTGTAGCTGTAAATAGAGATTCTGGAAGGGTGATACTGTTTCCTTTTCAGGGTAAATAACCCATACTTGTTATGCCATCAAGCCAAGCAGCAAATGAATAATGTCATGAAAATATTATTAGAACAAATTAACAAATTACAATTACAATTATCAAATTAACAATTAGAATATAGTAGCACCATCATTCTAAAAATTTAAATTTGATATAAATATACATTTCCATATCAGCCTAAATTTACAAAGTCCTATAATATGTAGGATATAAGGTCAATAAGTTAAGAATTCCAGCTTTAAGGACAATTTTAAATTATAATTTTTATTCCTCAGTCACCACTGCTAATCCTTCAATTTATTTCAAAGTAACTTCTGGTTTTTATTACATTTGGAAGATAAAGCAACTTATCACATGTAGGTTACAACTTAAAATTCGTGTATGAGCCATTGCTTATATTTTCTAAATCTGACATGACCCAGGGGGTTTCTACTGCTCCTACCACCACCCAGGACATGCGATGAAGATTGTGCACGTTACCGTGAGGGCGGAAGCAGGTTAGTAGCTGTAGGAGCTGTCACATGGATTTACTATAATGCACTTGAAATTGTGTATGTGACCTTATCAGGCATTTAAGGACCATAATCTCTCCTTGACCTAAGAAATCAGCTTGAAGTAATTCACTTAGATTTCAAATTTTAATGTGGATACCCAAGGCTGCAAATCTGTTATTCAGTACCTGCTACACTTTTGGGGTTGCCTCTTTTATGCACTGTTAGAATTGCTAGAAATTTAGAAGTCCAATTGGAAAGAAGCATATCTTGTTAGAAAGTATTCCCAGAAAATGAGGAAGGCTACATTTTAACTGTGTCTTGATTTTACAGGGAGAAAAATAAAGTTAATATTTTGAGGAAAAAATAAGGCTTTTAAGATGACATGCTATATAGTAGACAAATAGTTTAACTCGGTGCCTACTTCATGTACACTGGATGTGTTAACATGAATTTATGACCCTCAGTGACTTTTTATTACCAAAACAGCTTCCTTAAAGCAAACACACACACATGCCTCTACAGTATTGGAAAATTCCGTCTCCTTAGATAAAACAATTAGGATTTTTCTTGGGCCAACTAGAATAATTAGGGCTGCAGAGTTGGAGCCTTTATATAAGGAGTTTGCAGCTCATATCCGAAGAGAGAAATGTATTTCGAAAGTCAAAAGTGTAGGTAAGTGAGAAAGCAGAGTAGTTTCAGCTTTTGCATTTGGAGTGGGTATAATTTACTGTGTTGTCATAAGATACTGGAAAGATCTTTGGAAGAATAGGTTCTTAAAGTGTTTTCTCATGTGCCCTTACTGACATTTCCCATTGGGCCTTCAAGACAACTCCAGTAAATACTTAAATTGATTTTCAGTGCACTGCTTTCTTTCATTTTTATTTATTTATTTTGAGACTGGGTCTTGGTCTGTTGCCCTGGCTGGAGTGCAATGGCCCAATCTTAGCTCACTGAAGCCTTAAATTCCTGGGCTGAAGAGATCCCTCCACCTGAGCCTCCTTAATAGCCAGTCATGTGCCACCCTGCCTAGCTATTTTTTTTTTTTTTTTTTTTTTTTTTTTACTTTTTGTAGAGAAGGGATCTAGCTATGTTGCCCAGGCTGTTCTCAAGTAGTCCTGGCCTCAAATGATCCCTCCACCTTGGCTTCCCAGAGCACTGGGATTACAGTCATGAGCCACCCTCCTGGCTCCTTTTTTTTTTATTTTTAATAACAGAAGGGTATTTCTTTTGAATGTGAAATTTTACCACATGGTATGAATTAGTCCAAGTGTTTTTATACTAAATTTACATAATATACACTTTTCAAGTAAGTACAAAGAGGTATAAACACTGCTTATGAATTGAATGTTAAAAAATAAATCTCTATGCATTACTTTTGTCTTTCCCCATAATCTCACGTATACACATAAAACAAAAAACAAGGAGACCCAGTTATAGTTGTGGTATCTGCTGTTTCTGCCTTGAAATTTCCAGCTTACAGCTAAGCAACAACTACTGTGCATCCAGAACTTACATCTATGTTCCTAGAGTACTTGAACCCCATTCTCAAGTGCACCCTTCTTACCAGGTGGAAATAGTTCACTGCTGTAATAATCTAAGAAAACATTATGTTTCTCTCTACTTTTTTTTCTCTCATATAATCTAGGCAATTCTCCCTCTGTATCATTTTCCTGAGAAAACTAAAATAATTTTTAATCAAGACCAGATGGAACTTTGTATGGTATATTGACAGTATACCAATTGTTGTGACGAATCTTACTGCCTGTTGTAGATATCAGTGTTTGAAGTATTCCCTATGAAATAACTTTTCTGTCCCAATAATTGAGAGTGCTGTTTCATTTCCAAAAAAAGGGAAGAATTAATCAATTAAACATACATATAGTGAAATAACCTGTTTTGTAACATAAAACATAAGATGAAGAAATATCGGAACATTGATATGAAGTTTAACAGTAATGGATTATATATCCAGAAATATGAACAAATAAACCTGCAATGAAAATTTACTAATGTTACTAATTTTCACTTGTGTAACATGAACATTACAAAGAACATAGTGTACAAAGGGAGAATGTTGGTGGGTAGGATGAGTCAAGATTTCAGAGGAAAATCAATATTTAAGACTTACAGCACTGTGGAATATATTTAATTTTCCTAAAGTTGAAGAAAATTTCAGTGAATCTATGAATTGTTTAAGAGAAAGGTCACTCCGTTACTGACTTCTGCTACATCTAATATTCCAGGGAAGTAATATTTAGAGATAAAAAGCTTTTACTCTGACCTCCGGAAATTACTTAATGATCCAGATACTCCCAAAGTCAAAGCAAATCCTTGGAGACAAGTTTGGACTTTATGAATGTGGACTTAATTCTTTAAGATCACTAGAGCAACAATAAATTACAGGAATGTACCCTCTTTATATCTGATGATTATGCATAAGTGGGGTGTGCAGTTTTAAGTTACTTTTCCTACAGTGCTGACAGGTTTAGAGTGTTAAATCCATACTCAACTTGTATTATCTTCCTCTGCTTGAGCTATGCCACCTTGAGTCAGCTGATTTGACTATTTATAATTAGATACCTAACCTATGATATGATATAGTAGATGTCAATAGTGACTCATGATTTATGTAGTAAGTCTTACCATTTTCTAAGCAGTAGTCAGGTGCCATGTGATCTAACTAAAGATTTGTATTTCTTATTTTACTTAACAATTACAGTAACCCCAATGCAGTATTATTCACTGTTGGATTTTTTTTAATGTGAAAACTTAATAACCCCTGTGGATAAGAAAGTAAGAATGATTCTTAGGTGCTTTAGGACCAAATTAATCAGAATTTAATATACCACTTTGTCTAGGTGTCATGGCGGCTAAAATATCTTTGAGAAAGTTAAACTTAGCTTTCAATCTCAGATGATCTACTTAAGAATTTGGAAAGTTTATATTATATTATTTGAGAATGGGGATTCTTGCTTAAACGAAACCTGAAGGACGGGCATCTTTCATTCAATATCTTAAAAAGAAAGTTTAGCTGACATTTAAATAAGAAAAGATACACCTAAAATAAAGTAGAACACTGGTTTAATAAAAATAGTGAACAGGTACTCCCTTGCCTTTCTATTTTTCTCTCAACTCTATTTTATTTTACCTGAAGTTTGGGGAGAAATGCTAAGATGAAATTTTTGGTGGAGTCTTTCAGAGGTTATTTAACCAGAGACTATTTTCTTTTTTCTTTTTTTTTTGAGATGGAGTCTTGCTCTATTGCCCAGGCTGGAGTGTAGTGGTGCGGTCTTGGCTCACTGCAACCTCTGCCTTCCATGTTCAAGTGATTCTCCTGCCTCAGCTTCTCGAGTAACTGGGATTACCGGTGTGCACCACCGCACTCAGCTAATTTTTGTATTTTTAGAAGAGATGGGGTTTTGCCACATTGGCCAGGCTGGTCTCGAACTCCTGACCTCAAGTGATTTGCCTGCCTCGGCCTCCCAAAGTGTTGGTGTTAAGGACATGAGCCACAGTGTCCAGCCAACCAGAGACTACTTGTTTCGTGGCCATATTTAAACGGTCTAAGAAGGAAAAGTGAAGACTGTGTCTGTACTTTACATTAATGAACTATTACAATTTAGAAACATATATAAGTCTCCACACTTCCTTATTTTCACAAAAATGCCATAGAGAGACAAATTGAAACATAAAAAACTAGATATATTCTCTCATCCCATGAGCCAGCCATGGAAACAGAGAGCAGCTCAATTAGTAGCAGAGGAACAGGTGAATTATCATCCACTTCTATCTATGCCCTAAAAGCAGAGTTTTCTCAGAAGCTTGAAGACAGAATGTTGACTATTTATTTTCCACACATAAAGACATTCTCCTTGTGCAATCAAACTACAATGTTTAAAATCAGGAAATTTGCATTAATGTATTATTATAATCTAATCCTTCAGCCCTATTCAAGCATTAGCACTTGTCTCAATAGTGTCTTATATAACAAAAAGTTCAAGTTCAAAATCAAACATTGTATTAAAATGTTAGGTCTGTTTAGTTTCCTTTAATCTGAAACAGGTTCATATTTTTTCTTGGTTTCCGTGACTTTAATATTTTTGAAGATTTCTGCCTAGTTATTTTTTAGAATGGCTCTCCCATCTTGAGTATGTGTGATGTTTCCTCATGTATGAATGAAGCATATACATCTTTGTCAGAAATATCCCAGAAGCAATTCTGTACTCTCCTCATTATGTTCTGTTGGGTGGGCCATGGTTTTTGATTTGTCTCATTACTGATGATGGTTACTTTTATTATTTGATAAAGGTTGTATATAACTTATCTATTATGGCATAATACATTAGCTAAAACCTTAGCGGTGTAAAACAGCAGATACTTACGTTTCTCATAGGAATGGCTCTATTGAGTACCTCTGTCTCAAGGCTTCTCAAGAGTTTGTAGCTACCTTGTTGGCTGGGGTTGCGGTCTGATCTAAAGGCTTAGTTAGGGGGTGGTAGAAATCTTCCATATGTTCTTTGCTACGTGGACCTCACAGGCCTACATCATAACGTGGCAGCTGGCTTTCCTCAGAATGAACTACCCAAAAGAGAGCTAGACAGAGAGAAAACCCTCTGATTGAAGCCATAGTCTATTTATAACCTAATCTTGAAAGTGACATCACATCCCATCTGCCATATTATACAAGTAAGTGCAACGCGAATACAAGAAAGCCGGGATCATTGAGGGCTCTCCTACAGTCTACCTACCACTCTCTATACTCTGGCTCTCAATGATTCATGTTGCTCTCTCATGCAATATATCCTCATCCCCTTCTGAGGACCCCAAAATTTTCAACCCACTATAGCATCAGCTCAAAGTCCAGAAGCTTTTCATCTAAATCAAGTCCAGATGGGGAAGTGATTTTGGGTTTAATTCTTTTTTTTTTTTTCTTTTAGATTTTTTTACTTTTAGTTTTGGAGTACCTGTGCAGGATGTGCAGGTTTGTTACATTGATAAACATGTGCCAGGGTGGTTTGCTGCACCTATCAACCCATCACATAGGTATTAAGCCCAGCATGCATTAGTTATTTTTTCTAATGCTCCCCATCCCTCCCCTCCACCCCCCATCAAGCCCCAGTGTGTATTGTTCTCCACCCTGTGTCCATGTGTTCTTACCGTTCAGCTCCCACTTCTAAGAGACAACATGTGGTGTTTGGTTTTCTGTTCCTGCGTTACTTTGCTAAGGATAATGGCTTCCAGCTTCATCCATGTCCCTGCAGAGGACATGATCTCATTTCCTTTTTGTGGCGGCATAGTATTTCATGGTGTATATGTACCACATTTTCTTCATCCAGCTTTGTGATACTAAAGAGGCCAGTTACTTACTACACATTCACCAAAAATACAGTGGCAAAACAGGAATAATGTCTCTAGACATTCCTGTTGAAAAAAATGGGAAAATGCACAGACTAAAAGAATGATTGGTCCACCACATTTTAAAATCCCAGTGGTAAATGTTGCAAGTCATTTGATTATATTCAACGCCTGTGAATAATTATTCATGCCTCTCATCTCTGACCTCTAGGCTCTTCGTTCTGCCTTTTGAGTTATTCTTTTTTTTTTTTCCATGAAATACAGCTGGTACTTGCAATAGTACTTGGGTGTTGAACTTGTTAAGAGTGCATATCCTTTTTTTCAGATCCATCTATCATTTCCTAGTTGTATGTGGTTGTGTGGGTTATTTCTCCTCTTTTACATTGATTTTCTCACCTGCAAGTGAATAATAGTAACACTTTATGAGCAGGGTTATTGCAAGTAGCAAGGAGAAAATATATATTTACCATTTGCCACAATCCCTGGGGAAGTGCAGTCAATACATTGGAAAGGGTCCTCATAAGAGTTTGATGATCATTCTCAGAAATCTAGCCAGAGAAAGTCTAAATGGTAAAGGTTCCAGCTCATTATCTTCTTCCCTTTTCTCAAGTTTTCTCTCCATCTGACATGTGAGCTCAGTATTTACCATTGCCCTTTCTACAAATTTAACCAAGTTTATTTAAAAACATAATGACCTTCTATCCCAATTTACATTTTCTTTGGTGTAGAGGACGCCTTTACCTTGATGTGTGGAGACAAGCCGTTGATTTGTAAGAAACACCAATTATCAGCTTCCACTTGTGCTTCACAATCTGCTGAGTCGCTTTAACACTTTTGATGAAATTGAGCAAGGCCTTGTGATCTCTCCTGTGCCAGCCGTGAAGTGTCCACTGCACGCAGCTTGGCAGAACTATTTTCAGGGCCATAGGATGTTATGGCTGTGTGGGCAGGGAGCATTTTATTCGTCTGTTTGATTCCTATGTTTTTATTAGTGGTGCAATTGCAAAGGTAATGCTATTGACACTTTTTGTGTAGCCTTGAGAGAAGAGTATGAATTGTTTTAGTAGCAGCACAGCGTGTCCCTAAATATAAATCATGCTGTACTGATAGTTACTTTAGCAGCCACTGATCAGCAATAAATGTTAAAAATTAACAAGAAGTTTCTTTTTTTCGAAACCGCCAAATGACTCTAAGCATTAAATATATTTTAGCCGGAGTTGCTTCTCGGCCACAGAGTGGTTCACAACATTAAACATATTTTCAAAGTATTACTCCTTCCCCAGCCTCCAAGTGGTTGTAAACATTAAATATGTCTTATAAAAACTGCTTTGCCAGCTACTGGCAAGACAGCTATGAACATCATTTTTCTTTAAAGTTGCCTTCCAGCTGCGGGACTATTTTTCCTTATTTGCTCTATTCTATTTATATTTTGTACACAAAAGCAGGCAAGAGGCTACATTGGCCCAATTGTCTCTGGCTTTATGATAAGTGATCGTGGGAGAGCAGTTGCACCTCCGTAAAACCCTGCTGGCCACAGGAGCTTGCTGAAGTTCAATCACTGATACTGAATATTTCATATAGATGTCAGCTGTGTCTTCCAAAATAATTTTTGTTTTTCATTGTGCAATGTGTTGAGGCATAAAGATGGGCATGCATTAACATCAGCATTAAGAAAAATAACTTGAAGCAACCAGACACTGATGAATTATACCCACTGATTCAGGTGAAAATATTCCGTGAAGAGAACAGACTCAAATGGCAGGACTAGTATGTTAATGAGGTCTTTAACCCAAACATGATGAAAGACTTGGAACCTCTGTCTGGAAATCATCCAGTCTGACAACTGCATGCGATTCAAAAAGAGTGAAGAGTATGCTATTACATAAAGGTCTATCCAGGACTTAGAGCAGGAAATCTTTTCATTTTAACCAAATTCACAGTGAAAATAACGTGTGTCCCCTGAGTGAATTGAAAAATAAATTAGCTCTATCATCTCAGGCACAGTAATTCATCATCAGGCCAAATAATTAATTACTCAGGAAGGCTTTGATTTCTATGGGAGCCAAGTGTTCTCCAAATTGTGTAGTACTGTATCTTGCCAAATGTTTTATTTTAGGTGTATGTTCAACAGGTTCCAATATTCATCAATACCTACGTGACAGGCACTATTTTAGGTACTGGAGCTAGAACTTGAGCAAAAAAGACAAAAAGTCCTCCTCTCAGGAAGCTTTTACTCCAAAGGCCTCCTGCAGGGGCAGCAAGCTAAACTCTGTGAGCTAAATTCAACATATCATCTGTTTTTATTGGAACAGTTACACTTATTCATTTCTGTGTTGTCTATGGCTGCTTTCACACCACAATGGAAGAGCTGGCAACAGAGACCATATGGCCTGCAAAGACTAAAATATTTACTATCTGCTCCTTCACAGAAAAGTATGTTGACCCATTACATAGTGGATTGAGTTTGAGAGAGGAGATTAAGGTAAGGCCAACATTTTAAATCGACCTATGAGGAAAAAGTGTTTTTTTTCTCCCTAAAAATTACCTCTTCCAAAAGAAAACAAAACACAAAAAAACATAAAAATAAAAAGAAAGAAAATGGCAAGACCCAAGGTAAAATGAAGGGTAAAAGTGAGCACCACACTAATACATATGTATCAGCGTGAAATCAGATGCTGCCATTTAGTTCCTGCTGAAAGTGTTGGTTTGGCTTTATTAAAATAACTTAAACACAGTCTTTCAATGTTATAGACTCATGGTAAAGGTTTCTTTTTCCTTTTGTGAATTTTTAAAAATTTCTCTGCAAAAATTATTCCTCACACAATTATGTAACTTTATATTTTCGATTAAAACTAAAACTAAAAATGTTGAAAGAACAACTCGATATTGGATTAAAATATTCATTTTCCATCTTCATTCTCAGGATTCATATTTGGTTGCCTCATTGCGATATAAGTATGTTGAAAAAAATGGAAAATTGCTGAAAGCAAAAATTTTAAAACTCACCAGTATTAATAATTATCACCAAATAACTATTACAGAAAACTTCCTCAGAAAGTAAAATTAGAGTGAAGGTATCACAGGTTGGCACTATTTTCATTCCCGACCAAGAAACTGACACCTGAAAATTAAAAAAAAAAAAAATCAGAGTCTACAGTTTTACAAATAATTAACAAAATGAACATCAAAATAGGGTGCAATTTGTTTAATTGGCAAAGGCACACAACGAAAAAGAAATATGTCAATTAAACTGTCAACCATGTTAATTTTGCCTCTGAGAAAAACATTGTAATGGGATAATTTCACGAAATGCTTTGATGACAAGAAAATGCCAAAATATGATTAGCTACTTCAAAATTCAGCTGAAACAAGAAAGCAATTGGTGGCAGCCAGAATAACCAAAGGTCTTTTTTTTAATATACCTTTTTCTTTCCGTCTCTTTTTGCCTGTGTTTAATCAACAGCGTACATTTTGTTTGACAGTGAAATGATTCATAATGAAAACACTGGCATCACAAAAACTTAGCAGAAACTTTGCTATAAGATTAGAGTATACACTTCTATTTTCCCCAAACTCTTTAAAAATATAATTACTATTTCTGAAAGAATTTGTTATCTTTATGAAATAATGTATTTTTCTTACTAGCATTAAGTGCTTATTTAGCTAAAAGCCAGAATTAGAAGCAATTCACTCATATGAGTATGTTTATATTTATATTGTCAAATATATTTACTTAGAATTTAAACCAAGATATATTTTATTTATTGTTCTCATCACTGCCTGTTAGTCAGAATGGATATTTTAAATTTTACCAGGTCATGTAAATTTTACTACCTATATTTCTTATTCCTGTTTGTTTAGAAAAATAATCTAGTCTATACCTAAGCTAACAAATAATCCTAAACATTGAAAATACACACATGATTATGAAGAATTCACTTTCTAATAAGTTTCAGCTTTTTACAAATGGCTGCTTAAATATAATGCATAAATATGACGTATTTTTAAAAATACATCTTGTTTATGCATTACTTGAACCATAACTAATCCCCATTTCCAGTCAAAAAGAACACTGTCTACATATGTTAATCTCTAATACAACAAAAGCAGGCTTAGCTTAATGGGAAACTTATTAGAGTAAAATAGTTCTTTTTATTTTGTATTTTATTTTATTATTACAATAAGAAGATTATAATTTGGTAACCAGCAGGAGAAGAAAGACTTCCAAAGATTATTTTATGGGTCCATGTATTTGCTTTTCCTGAGGGTAACTAGTGCTAATTCTAGAAAGGCAGAATGCTGTAGGAAAAACAAAATAAGCCCTGGAGTACAAAAGATTTGGATTCAAACTTTGAAGAAGGATGGGGAAGTGTTTAGGAAAGTGCTTCCCTGTGTAAAACTTAGCTGGTAAGTACCATATTTCACTGAAATTGCTGTTATAATAATTGAAACAGATTATTATTGGAAAAACAACATCAGCAAAACTAAACCCTAGATGAGTTTAAATAAGTGCCAGCCATTTTTCTCCTGTGGGGATTTAGAGTTGAAGTGGGTATCTTCGATTACTTTTCTTTATCCTCATTCTTATTCTTATAATTTTTCCTAATAAGTCACCTAAGAAGGGCATTTAAATAAGTGCTAGCCTTTTTTCTCCTATGGGGATTTAGAGTTGAAGTGGATGTCTTCAATTACTTTTCTTCTCTATTCTCGTTCTTATTCTTATAATTTTTCCTAATAAGTCACCTAAGAAGGGGATTCTAGAAACATCTCTTTCCAAGAATACATATTGTTTTAAGAAATATCAGTTACCCCAAATACTTGAATAGAAACTAGGAAAACAGGAGAGGGAGATTATAGGTGTAAACAAGGAATTACTGTGCAGTAATATGTGTAGTGGACGTGAAAAGTAATGACTTAACAGTTTGAATACACAAAGATGGACCAAACAAATACATTTATTTCTCCTTTATTCCAAATTGCCATTGAAATAGGAAAATATAGTACTTATTAAAATAACTATGGAAAGTTGAGAAGAATTCTACCAACAGACTAAAGAGTAAGCAATTTCTGAAGGACATAAGTCATATCAGAGGCACTTTAGTCTTTGGCCATAATAGAATTATTGGAGGGACTTGCCTTTTCACTATAAACAATGATAAAACTGGGCAACATATATGAGGAACCAGATTTTATGCATCAAACAAGAAGTACAAGTTTTTCATACTCAAGAGAGAAGAAAGCTGTGAGGTAAGTACCACATTTAACCAGAGAATGTGACTAGGGGCACTTTTTCTCCCATTAAACAAGGAGGCAGACTCTAAAAATAATGAGTTTAGAGGAAGAAATTAAAGCTTAAAGCTCTCATTTTGTAGGTTGTCTGCTTATTTGTTGATAATTTCTTTTGCTATGCAGAAGCTCTTAGTTTAATTAGGTTCCAAAAAGAGGTAGGGGTAGAGGGACAAGAGCCAAGGAACTTCCTGTTAGGTATTCAGTTCACTACCTGGGTGACAGGATCAGTGGAAGCCCAAACAGTAGCAGCAAGCAATATAACTTTGTAACAAACCTGCACATATACCCCCTGAATCTAAAATTACAATTAAATCTCTATCTATATCATCTCTCTCTCTATCTATCTATCTATCTATCGATATTTGTAAATAGCTTACACTTGCTTAAGTGGTTGTTATTTAAGAGCTGCTGAAGTGGCTGAAATTTGTATAGGAAAGGAAAAAGAGGCATGGGGTAGGCCTACAGAAGCCAGAATAAGTATTTGGCACCAATTTCGTCAAAAGCTGCTCTATACCTGAGCAGGGTTAACATCTGCAAGACCTGCTGAAAGCAGATACTGTGGGAATAAGATATCAGTAGTAACAGGACAAGGAGATGTTTGGGTTACTGACTAGCCACAGGGAAGATATTTTACGGAATATTCCAGGCATTAAGAACAAGGACTATTTCTTTCAGTAAAGACTATGTCCTATCTTTAAGAACAAAAATGAAAGAGATTTTCATTAACAAATAATGAAACCAGGCATGGCAGATCAAAAGGATCTGGAAGCCACTTAACAGCTTTCAAAGGACTATCTTAGGGCCTTTTACAAGAAGACAACGTCTAGATTTTCTACAGTGTATTAGTCAAAAATACAAGTTACGCAAAGAAGCAGGAAAATTTAATAAATAATCAAGGGGGAAAAAGCAGTCAATAGAACATACATCATAATGACCCAGGCATTGAAATCAACAGATATATATTATGAATATGTCCTTAGACTATGGAGATATTGTCACAATGATAGAACAAAAAAGGTAATTTTGAGAAATGAACATTGTTGAAGTAACAAGTGCAAAATATACAATGAAAGAGTCACTGGCAGGGTATACTCTCAGATTTCAGCTCTCTGAAAAGCAGACAAATAACCTTGAAAACCATTTTTGAATTTATCTAATCTCAAACAAAAGAGGAAAATGATTAAAATAAGAGATTGAATGACATGGGATATCAAGCCATCAAACCTATACACAAATGAAGTCTCAAAAGGATGAGTCAGAAAATGGGAAAGAAAAAATATATTTGAAGAAATAATTGCCAGTGTTTTCAAATTTTGATGAAAAATTTCAATGCAGAGATCCAAGAACATCGAATCAACAAGAACACATGTATGAAGGGTATAAAGCCAATAGCATAATTAAAATGAAATATTGAAAAATATCCATTTACTCTAAGGAAGGTAACACTGAACCGGTGAAGAAAGAAATATCAACAACCAAGGGAAGAGAACAACACCCAAATAAGAAAATAGTAGGCAAATAGTAACATGGTAGATTTAACAACACTGACATCACTGATTAAATGTAAATGGATTGAACATTTATATTAGTTTCCTAGGGTTATATAACAAAGTACCATAAACTAGGTGCCTCAAGCAACAAAAATGTATTATCTCAAGTCCTGAAGGCTAGAAGTCTGAATTCAAGGTACTGGTTCCTTCTAAAGGCTGTGAAGAAGAATCTGTTCTAGACATCTCTCCGTGGCTTTTAGATGGCTTTCTTCATGTTCATATGTTGTGCTTTCTGGTGGCATTTTTGTGTCCAAATTTCCCCCTTTCATAAGGCCACCAGTCACATTGGATTACAGGCCACTCTAATGATCCCATTTTGACTTGATTACATCTATAAAGATCCTATCTTTCAATAAGGTTGCATCCTTAATTACTGGGGTAAGGACTTCAACGTATGTTTTTTTTGGCAGACAATTCAACCCATAACACACTTAAATTAAGAGCTAGCAATTTTGAGACTGGATTTAAAAAGGACAAAACTATATGCTCTGTATAATGAATGCATTTTTTTTTTGAGATGGAGTCATAAAATTGGTTGAAAATGAAAGGAAGTAAAACTGATGTAGCTGGCTAATACCAGAGAAAGTAGGATTCAAAATAAGCTGAAATATCAGAGATGGAATGATAAAAGGTTAAGCTCATTAGCAATGCATTATAATTCTCAATGTTTTTATACAACTGATAACAGAGTGTCAAAATGCATGAAGTAAAAACAGACAGAACTAAACAGAGAAATAGACTTTCACTCATAGTTGAAGATTTTAATCATCGGCTCAAAATAAACAATAGATGAACAAATAAAAATTAGTAAGGATTTGGAAGATTCTAATAATACTATCAACTAATGTAGTCTAATTTCAAGTTTTAGAACACTACACAAAAAATTTCATGAAAATATTTTTATCAAATTTACATGGAATGTTTACGAAGGACTGTGTAGTCTCGGTCATTAAATAAGTCTCAATAATTTGCAAAAGATTAAAAATTATCTTCAGAGGTGAAACAATGGTTTTTGTGTTGATTGAGATATTGATTAAATATGTACATTTGTGAAAACTTACTAAATTGAATGCTTAATTTCTGTGCATTTTGCTGTATCTCAATTCTAATAGAAAGACAGGCAAACATATAAATACCTATTACAGACATACCTACACACACACACGTGTGTGTGTATGTGCGTGTGTGTATGTGTGTGTATAAGTCATTTGCATATATACTGGCAGTGAATCCCAGTAAAGGTGAGGAATACATATTCTCACACTGGTAGAAATGATGACTTTTTACAGTCTGATTTTTTTTGTGTTTTAATCCAGAAATAATCCCAAAATTAGAGATACAAGGGAATGGTAATTGGTCCATAGAATAAGAACTGTCCAAGAAATTTATAGCACATGACTCCCTGTCCCACGCTCAATTGAGGTTTGTTTTATGTCTTTGCTCTGGGAAGAAAGCCCCCAGTTTAGCTTTCTAAATGATGAGTTCAGAATCTACTCACAAGCATTAGAGATTAGTAAAGTTCCTTGTATTCAGTAGAGTTCCTTGCAACAAGCATGAGCAGTAGAGATGCTGCCACTTTCAAAAGACTTACATATGGACCACTGAAAAGAAAGGCATTATGTGGTCAATTTTAGAGCATGTGCCATGTGGAGATGAGAAGAATGTATATTCTGTTGTTTTTGGATGGAGAGTTCTGTAGATGTCTATCAGACTCATTCGGTGGAATGTTGGGTTCAGATCCTGAATATCATTGTTAATTTTCTACCTTGATGATCTGTCTATGACTATCAGTGGTGTGTTAAAGTCTCCTACTATTATTGTGTGGGAGCCTCTTTGTACTCTAAGAACTTACTTTATGAATCTGGGGGTTCCTGTGTTGGGTGCATATATATTTAGGTTAGTAAGGTCTTCTTGTTGAGTAAAACCCTTCATCATTATGTAATGCCCTTCGTCTTTTTTTTTTTTTTTTTTTTTGAGACGGAGCCTCACTCTGTCGCCAGGCTATAGTGCAGTGGCATAATCTCAGCTCACTGCAATCTCCGCCTCCCGGGTTCAAGTGATTCTCCTGCCTCAGCCTCCCGAGTAGCTGGGACTACAGGCACACACCACCAAGCCCAGCTTATTTTTTTTTTTTTTTTTTTTGGATTTTAGTAGAGATGGGGTTTCACAATGTTGGCCAGGATGGTCTCGATCTCCTGACCTTGTAATCCGCCCACCTTGGCCTCCCAAAGTGCTGGGATTACAGGTGTGAGCCACCACTCCCGGCCCCTTCTTTGTCTTTTTTGAACTTTGTTTGTTTGACGTCTGTTTGGTCTGAAATTAGGATGCAACCCCTGCTTTTTTCTGTTTTCTACATGCTTGGTAGATTTTCCTCCATTCCTTTATTTTGAGCCGATGGGTGTCATCACATGTGAGATAGGTCTCAAAGACAGCATACCATTGAGTCTTGCTTTTTTATTCAGCTTGCCCCCCTTTACCTTTTAAGTGGGGCATTTAGCCCACTTACATTCAAGGTTAGTATTTGATATGTGTAGATTTGATGCCCTCTCTCATGACTCCTATTCAACATAGGAAATCCCAGCCAGAGTAATCAGGCAAGAGAAAGAAATAAAGGGCATCCAAATAGGAAGAGAGGAAGTAAAATTATCCCTATTTGAAGCTGACATGATTCTATATCTAGAAAACCCCATAGTCTCAGCCCCAAAGCTCCTTCTGCTAATAAAAAAAACTTCAGCAAAGTTTTAGAAAGAAAATCAATGTACAAAAATCACTAGCATTTCTATAAACCAACAGTAACCAAGCTGGCAGTCAAATCAGGAAGGCAATCCCATTCACAATTTTCACAAAAAGAATAAAAATATCTAGGGTAAAATACAACTAACCAGGGAGGTGAAAAATCTCTACAATGAGAATTACAAAACACTGCACAAAGAAATCAGAGAGGATACAAACAAAATGGAAAACATATCATGCTCATGGATAGGAAGAAGCAATATCATTAAAAGGCCATACTGCACAAAGCAATTTACAGATTAAATGCTATTTCTATCAAACTACCAATGACATTCTTCACAAAACTAGAAACAACTGTTTTAAAATTCATGTGGAACCAAAAAAGAGGCCAAATAGCCAAGGCAATCTTAAGAAAAAGAACAAAGCTGGAAGCATCAGGCTATCTGACCTCAAACTATACTACAGGGCTATGTTAACCAAAACAGCATGGTGCTGGCACAAAAACAGGGACATAAACCAATAGAACAGAATAGAGAACCCAGAAATAAAGCCACACAGCTATGATTATCTGATCATCAATAAAACTGACAAAAACGAGCAATGGGGAAAAGACTGTCTTTTCAATAAATGGTACTGGGATAACTAACTAGCCATATGCAAAAGATTGAAACTGGACCCCTTCCATACACAATATACAAAAATCAACTCAAGATGGATTAAACACTTAAATGCAAAACACAAAATTAGAAAAACCCTGGAAGACAACCTAGGCAATACCATCCTGGACTTAGAACAGGCAAGGATTTCATGACTAAGATGTCAAAAGCAATTGCAACAAAAGCAAAAATTCATAAATGGGAACTTCATTAGTCCATTTTCACACTGCTATAAAGAACCACCAGAGACTGAGTAATTTATAAAGAAAAAGGTTTAATTGACTTGAAGTTCAGCATGGCTGGGAAGGCCTCAGGAAACTTACAATTATAGGAGAAGGTGAAAGGGATGCAATGCACCTTTTTCACAAGGCGGCAGGAAGGAGAAGTACCAGGCAAAGCTGGGAAGAGCCCCTCATAAAACCATTAGATCTCGTGAGAACTCATTCACTATCACAAGAACAGCATGGGTGAAACCACCCCCAGATTCAATTACCTCCACCTGGTCTCTCCATGTGGTGATTATGGAGATTATAATTCAAGATGAGATTTGGGTGGGGATACAAAGCCTAAACATATCAGGATCTCATTAAACTTATTAAGAGCTTCTGCATAGCAAAAGAAACTATTGACAAAATAAACAGACAACCTACAGAATGGGAGAAACTATTTGCAAACTATGCGTCTGACAAATGTCTAAAATCCAGCACCTATAAGGAATTTAAACAAATTTACAAGAGAAAAACAACCCCACTAAAATGTGGGCAAAGTACATGAACAGACACTTTTCAAAAGAAGACATACATGTAGCCAACAAGCATGTGAAAAAAAAAAAAAACTCAATATCACTGATCATTAGAGAAATGCAAATTAAAACCACAATGAAATATAATTTCATACCAGTTAAAATGGCTACTATTAAAATGTCAAAAAATAACAGATGCTGGCAGGTTGTGGAGAAAAGGAAACACACACTGTTAGTGGGAGTGTAAGTTAGTTCAACTATTGTGGAAAGCAGCATGGCAATTCCTCAAAGAGATAAAAGCAGAACTACCATTCCAACCAGCAATCGCATTACTGCATATATACCCAGAAGAAAATATATCATTCTACCATAAAGACACATGCACACAAATGTTCATTGCAGCAATATGCACAATGGCAAAGACATAGAATCAACCTCAATGCTCATCAATAAGAGTTTAGATAAAGAAAATGTGGTATATAGACACCATGGAGCTATAAAAAAGAATGAGATCACGTTCTTTGCAGTAACATGGATGGAGCTGGAGGCTATTATACTGGACAAATTAACACAGGAACAAAAAACCAAATACTAGAAAATACTGCATGCTCTCACTTACAAGTGGGGAACTAAATTATGAGAACACATGGACACAAAGAAGGGAACAGCAGACACTGGAGTCTACTTGAGAGTGGAGGGTGACAGGAGACAGAGGAGCAGGAAAAATAATTGTTGAGTACTTGGTACCTAGGTGACAAAATGATCTGTACAACAAACCCTGATGACACGAGTTTACCTATATAACAAACTTTCACAGGTACTCCCAAACCTAAAATAAAAGTTAAAAAAAAAAGAAGAAAGCAAGCCCAAACCCATGCTGTACCACATGGCAGCATGGCATTGCAATTTTCAATTACTTGGGGGAAATAAAGATTCTCATGTGATTAGAGGAAATAATCTTTATTTAATAATAATGCTTAATAAGAACACTTGACAATAGATGGCTGAGAAAACCAAGAATCACCAAATATTTAAATAAAAATAAAAAATAAAGAATATCCTATCTATGAAATGATATAAACACTAAGAAAATAGAATTAACAGAAGAAACTAAAGAAAATGTCAATAGCCTTGGTGTCCATACAGGAATAGGAATCACAAAAATAACCATAAAATATTTTTAAAAATACCTTTTACGAGCAATACTCCAGAATGTCAGAAATTAAAAATATCATTAGCAAAATAAAATGTAGTAAACAGAATAAATAATATAAAAGATAAAACTGATGTCTAAAGATTACCCCAGAATCTGAACTGCATGAGGGGGAATAAGAATTACATTACTGGATATGAGAACAACTATTTAATAGACACATCTACTTGGATGACAATGCTTTTTTTTAAATGTCAAATTTCCAGTTTATTAATTTTAATACATTTCTGATCAAAATTACTCATTTCTTTTTGTGCCCTTATTTTTTGCATTAATTTTCATTTTTTACATCTCCATGCTGAATTGAAAAAAACTTCTACTGACCTGTATTTCAGTATATTAATTATTCCTTCAATGGTATCTAATCTGGTGGTAAATTATCTATTATATTTAATTTAAGTAACCACATTTGTATTTTAAATGTTTTGCTTATTTCATCTACAATATAATACTAACACAGTTTTTTCTCTACAATTAGTTTAAGCTTTTAACTAAATTTTTAAAGAGTAAAATATTTATTATCTTTCTCTGATATTGTCCAATGTTTGAAGTCTTTGTGGTTCTAATTATGTTTCATGTTGTTTTTGTTGATTTTAACTTATTTTGCCTTGTTTCACTGTGTTCTTGAGAATATTGTAAGATTTAGCTTCAGGGTATTTTTATAAAGCATTCAGATTTGCTTCTCCCTAACACCTGGGCATACGAGTAGGACCACCTTAAAAAAATGTTCAATTTTTGAGATTACCTGAGTCACGCAGTCACACAAACCCAAGTAGTGGATCCAAGCTACCACTGCTTTAGGTCTGTCTGGTTCACCTTATGCTGAGGGTATAAGATTTGGTCATCTCAATCTTTTAAGGGAGGGCTCCTTAAGAAGACTTAACATATGCTAATCTTCGGTTTTGGTTTCTTTCTCATTCACCCTGAAACTGTCAAAATAAATATTAATATTTGTAGAGATCGGCAAATTGCAACTGGTAAGGTTATATCCTTACCTCTCTGGGTTCTTCTTTTCTCTTCAAATTTGGTTTGATCACTTATTAAAATTTTATAAGCTCTCAATGCTTTTTAAAAGGTGTTTTAAATGTGCAATCACTAGCATTTTTTAAAGTTTTTTCATTGGGAATTATAGTCTGAATAATATCCCACCATAACTAGAAAATGAAATACCTACCTATTACAAATGCAATACATTTTATATATTGAGTAATTTGCCTTTTTCTAATTAATTTTATTTTAAAACTCATATTAAAATCTATATTTTATAAGAAAAAAAAAAGCTTGACATTTGATTAAGACCAACTTAGCTTCACAAATCTCTACCCGAATGACCACAGGCAAGTGATCTGACATTTGCAAGTGCCTATTTTTTTTTTTTCATTTATAAAATGGAAATACATAACTGAGCTTAATGTGGATCAAAGAAATTAATATGTAAAAAAAATCAAACACAGAACCTGAAAATGATAGGAAGTCAATTATTCAGCCTACCTATCCACTACTAAAATAATTCTTGGTTATGAACTTCACAAGGGAACACACTGTATTACTACTCTACTCAATAACATGAATTTCATTGTGTATCTTCTGGGGCAAGTGCTTCTTCCAAACAAATTAAACCATTCCACTCACACAATGTTCATCTATCTCATAAGTTTTTGCTATTCTCCTGTTGATTTTACATTTAATGAGGGATAAATTCTATTTTCACAATCATAATCAAATAGTACCTAGAGAATAAAAGCTACTAAGACAAGACAACCCTCAATTCAATTAATAACTAATCCCTCTCTTTTTCAGAGGTACATCAGTTGTTCCTCCAGGATTAAAACCCCTCCTGTTTTACAATAAAAAAGCAGACAGATGACAGGATCTCATTAAACATCTATTGTGCACCCACACAAAAAAAATTAAGTAGGCAGATGCTCTGATTATTTAAAGCAACACACAGAGTTTTAGGATGAAGTTTTATTTCTGAATTTTAACTTATGCACAACTTGTAAAATGTTACTTCATTTATAAATAAAGCAGCACTAACTTGGTAACTTGGAATCACTGTATTTTTCTTCATAAAGAATAAAGTCAGGATAACAGTTAGCTCTCTTTGTTTCTGAATAATGATTCAACATTAATTTAGATATTAGAAGCTCTCACATGCAAGTGTGTGTGCATGCACTCACACACACTACTCTGAAGAGGTAGAATATGAGGAAATAAGATACACATACACAGAGAAGGAATATGTAACATTTAATTTTAACCTCAATGACAGGAGGAGGAGCACCAATAATCTAAAAAAAAAAAGAAATCCCAAAAGTTTTGGATTAGCTGCCTCTCTAGCTAAGTATATATTTTATTGCTAATCAATATGGCATGACCAAAATTATAGCAATGAAAATAGTCATAATTATCATCAAGTAATGAAAATAATATTTATGTGCTCAACAGTATTACTTATATATTCTGATTAAATCATGTGCTATTGAAAGCAGGATGAAGTAGAGCTTATTTTATATCTTAGAATTCTTTTCCATCAATGTCAGTTTAGGAAATGAAAGTTATTAGAATTTCAATGTAATTAATTCATTTGCAATTGGTGTCTATTTGGTTATGTATTTTTTCATAGATATAGTCTGAGAGACATTATCTGGTAACTTTTATCATGTCTCTGAGAAACCAATTTTCTGTAAGGCCTAATTTTTTTTCTTAAATAAATATGTATCTGCTCATGCATATACCAACTTCATGGATTCCAAACAATAAAAAAGTTAATTGTAAGGATTGGACAGAATCTACATTTTAAATGCTATTTAAAACATTATCACACTGTAGTGGAGGAATCATAAACTGCAGAAGTTTTTCAACCATGCCACCACAAACTACATCTCTACAAAATGTTTTGTACTTTTACTTTAAAGAACTAAAATTGGAAACAAAGAGTGGAGAATTATTTCTTCCCTTTCTCTTCCCTTCATCCTCATTCTAGCACCAGTCATACCTGACCATGATTTTTAAAGAGTATAAATTACTCCTCTTCTCAGAGGTAGAAATACACAGAAAAATACACAAAAACCAAATTCTGTCAAAATATATTTAAAGAGGTTTATTCAGAGCCAGTATAAGTGACCAAGGCCTGGGTTACACTATCTCAAGAGGTTCTGAAAGCGTGCCCAAGGCAACCGGGTTACACTTTGGTTTTATACATTCCAAGGAGACAACCAACTGCAGGTAATTGCAGGTAGGTCAGGGTAGGAGCTTGTACGTCATAAGGGGCTTTTAGGGATCCTTTAGTTGACAATTGGTTGAGAGAGTTATGCTATCGTCTAAAGTCTTGAAATCGATAGAAAGGAATGCCTGAGTTCAGATAAGAGTGGGGGAAAGACCAAGGATCTTATTAAGTAGATGAAGCCTCATAGGTGGCCCTCAGAGAGAATAGATGGTAAATGTTTCTTTTCAGACCTTTAAAGGTATCAGACTCTCAATCACTCCTAGGTCCTGGAAAGGCATAGAAAGGGGAAGCATGGCTGCATTAATGAAGATTCTCCATAGATGCAAATTTCCTCTACCTCAGTTTGCTGGCCTTGCAACAGCCATTTCAAAAGACATCAAAGAAATATATTTTAGGGCAAAATATTTTTATATCCTTCAGGGTCTGCTGTCTGTTATGTGATGCTGTACCAGAGTCAGGTTGGAAAGCAAGCCACATTATATAGGGTTAATAAAAAACCCATGTAAAGAGATGTTATCATTCGTAGGGCTGACTCCCAGTTTCTTTAAATAGGAATTTGGGCAAGATGAAAAAAAAAAATCAGAATTTAGTCCTCAACTCAAATATTTTATTCATTCAAACGCTTATTCAAACTACCGAATCCTCCAATAACAGAAAGTATAGTGTCCATCCTGAAGACTTTCATCCCATCTCACAGCATGTTTTCTCCTAGTACACCCTGATTGTCCAAGGACTTCTGAGAACACCATTCCAGAAGAGGTCATGATCTCAACAACTGTCACAGAAAGAAAGAATACAGGAAGACAAGATGCGAAAGTTATGTCAGTGGCTTTCATTCATCACACCACTACGTACTGGTTCTCTAGTACTGTGCTGTTATGATCCTCCTGACTTTTACCCTGTGAATATCCTAGTGCTTTTATATCAGTCTCACATCCTCAACACGCTGGTTTCCATAAAAATGCAACCAAGTCAGATGGCTGTGATCTGGTGGGATTCTAGTTCCATTTGCAGCCTCCAAAGCAGTCTTTTACCTAAGAACACTCAGGCCTCCAAGGTTAAGATAACAGTATACTCCAATGCAAAATTCTCTACCTCCCTACTTCAGGTCCCAGGGACTCTCAACTGCCAGTCACTCTTTGAACAATAAGAACAGACACTTAAATGATGATAACTAATGGCAGCAGCACTAATGTAAGAACGCTGGAACTATTAGTACTCTCATCTTCCAGATGAGAGAACTCAATAACATGATTTACATAAACTGCCTGAAGATACAGTAGAATAATAATAATGAAATCCAGGCATTGTGGACCTGAATGCTGCTACCTAGCTACTCCTCTTTGTGGCTTCTCCATTGTCTTTTCCTGCCAGTTCAGTTCTAACAGGAATAAACAGACGCTATTCAAAAGCTTTTCAAGTCTGAATGAAGATGTACCTAGGGTTGGTGTTGATGAACTTTCCCTCACTCTTCCTTAAGGAAATTTGTTCTTTCCTGCCATTTGAGAGACATGTTCTTCCTCTTCTTCTTCAAAGAGCTAAAATGCACCTTTATTTGCATAATGAAGATAGTGCAGTGAAGTACTTTCTTGCGTTGTCAAGGAAATGAGCTCCAAAGGAACTTCCTTTTAGCATAGAGAAAGCTGCTGTTTTTATTTACTTGCATTTTGCATATGAATATATTTTAATTTAGTTTCAACAGGTAACTGAATTAGAAAGTGAAATTATAAAGTCATTTCTCCAAGAAAGAAGGTAGAGCTTATAAATATTAGTAATCTTAGCTGGGCACGATGACTTATGCCTGTAATCCCAGCACTTTGGGAGGCTGATGCGGGCCAATCACCTGAGGTCAGGAGTTTGTGACCAGCCTGGCCAATATGGTGAAACCCTGTCTCTACTAAAAGTACAAAAATTAGTCTCTACTAAAAATACAAAAATTAGCCATATGTGGTGGCACGTGCCTGTAATCCCAATTACTTGGGAGGGTGAGGCAGAAATTGCAGTGAGCTGAGACTGCACCACTGCACTCCAGCTTGGTGAACAGAGTGAGACTCCGCCTAAAAATAAATAAATAAATAAATAAATATTAATAATCTTTTAAAGAAATGATTGTGGCTATTTCTAGGTCTAATGATACTTGCTTAATCGTATTGAAAACAATGTTATTTCTTTGAATGGCAATGGAATGTAAAATATTTAAAAACGCAATTTGACTTTTTTTACTTTTTAAAATTTATGTAGCTGGGCCGGGCACCCTGGCTCATGCCTGTAATCCCAGCACTTTGGGAGGCTGAGACTGGAGGATCACAAGGTCAGGAGATCGAGACCATCCTAGCTAACACGGTGAAACCCCGTCTCTACTAAAAACACAAAAAAATTAGCTGGGCGTGGTGGTGGGCACCTGTAGTACCAGCTACTCGGGAGGCTGAGGCAGGAGAATGGCATGAACCTGGGAGGTGGAGCTTGCAGTGAGTTTGAGATTGCTCCACTGCACTCCAGCCTGGGTGACAGAGCGACACTCTGTCTCAAAATAATAATAATAATAATAATAATAAATAAAATAAAATTTATGTAGCTGATATATTACTATAACCTCACTTGCATTTTTAAATTATTTTACTGGTTCTCTCTTTTTACTTTTATCTTACCTATGCTGTATTTGAAGTTAGTTTTATATAGACAGAATTTTAAAAATTATTTATTTATGGGGTACAAATGCAATTTGGACAATATTGTTGGCCATGGTTTTTCGTTTTTGATTTTTGTTTTTTTAACTACTCTGCCAATCTATGTTTTTTAGTTGGTTTCTATAGGCCTTTTATGTTTAACAATTTGTATGTTGTGGTTGATGTCTACCACTTTGTTATTTGTTTCTGTTTGTTTCTGTTTCTTATTCCTCTGTGTCTTTTTCTTGCTTTCCAATGGGTTACATAAACATGTTAAGTTTCCATCTTAATTTATTTATAGTGTTTTAAATACAATGTTGCATCACTTAATGACAAAAATTACATTCTGAGAAATGCATTAGGCAATTTCTTCACTGTGTAACATCATATAGTGTATTCTATGTGTAAATAGAGATAGCATAACCTACTACTCACCCTAGGTTATGTGGTACAGCCTATTGATCCTAGGCTACAAACCTATACAGCATGTTACTGTGCTGAATACTGTAGGCATCTGCAACACAACGGTAAATATTTGTGTATCTAAACATAAAAAAAGGTACAGTAAAAAATCCAGTCAAAACATCAAAAATGGTATACCTGATTAGGGCACTTACTATAAATGAAGTTTGCAGGGCTAGGAGTTGCTCTGGGAGAGTTAGTGAGTAAGTGGTGAGTGAGCGTAAATGCCTAGGGCATCATTGTACAAAACTGTAGACTTTATAAACACTGAATTTATAAAATTTATAAAGAAACTTATTTCTTTCAAAATACATTAAACTTATCCTACAGTAACTTTTTTACTTTATAAACTTTTTAACTTATTTTTAACTTTTTGACTCTTTTGTAACAACACTTAGCTTAAAACACATATTGTACACAGAAATACTTTATTTCCTTATATCCTTATTCTCTAAGATTTTTTTGTAATTTTACATCTTTTAATTTTTAATTTTTTTGTTGTTGTTGTTAAAAACAAAGACACAAATGCACATACTAGCGTAGGCCTACACAGGGTCAGTATGATCAACATCACTGTTTTCTACCTCCAGATCTTGTCCCACTGGAAGCTCCTCTAGGCCAATAATGCATATGGATCTGTCGACATCTATGATAACAATGCCCTCTGAAATGCCTCGTGAAGGACCACTGTGAGGCTGTTTTACAGTTGCCTATTACTTTTTTTTTTTTTTTTTTTTGAGACAGAGTCTCGCTCTGTCGCCCAGGCTGGAGTGCAGTGGCGTGATCTCGGCTCACTGCAAGCTCCGCCTCCTGGGTTCACGCCATTCTCCTGCCTCAGCCTCCCGAATAGCTGGGAATATAGGCGCCCCCCACCAGGCCTGGCTAATTTTTTGTATTTTTAGTAGAGATGGGGTTTCACCATGTTAGCCAGGATGGTCTCCATCTCCTGACCTCGTGATCTGCCCACCTCGGGCCTATTTCTTTTAATAAGTAGAAGGTGTACACTACAATAACAATAAAAAATATGGTGTAGTAAATACACAAAAATGTAATATATTTGTTTATTATTATTACTAAGTAAAATGTACTTGTATTAGTCCATTCTCACACTACTATAAAGACACTACCCGAGATTGGGTAATTCATAAAGGAAAGAGGTTTAATTGAGTCACAGTTCTGCATGGCTGAGGAGGCCTCATGGAACTTACAATCATGGTGAAATGGGAAGCAGTCATCTTCTTCACAAGACAACAGGAGAGAGAAGGATTGTGTGTAGGAGGAGCTGTGAAACACTTAACAAAACCATCAGATCTCCTGAGAACTCACTCACTATCGTAAGAACAGTATGGCAGAAACCGCCCACATGATCCAATCACCTTCCACCAGATCCTGCCCTCAACACATGGGTATTATGAAGATTACAATTCAAGATGAGATTTGGGTGGGGATATAGAGCCAAAATATATCATTCCACCCCTGGCCCCTCCCAGATCTCACATATTTTTTACATTTCCAACCCAACATCATGCCTTCCTAACAGTCCCCCAGAGTCTTAAATCATTTCAGCAGTAACTCAACAGCCCACAGTTCAAAGTCTCATCTGAGACAAGGCAAGACGTTTTGGCCTATAAGCCTGTAAAATCAAAAGCAAGTTAGTTACTTCCTAGATACCATGAGGGTACAAGAATTGGATAAATGCTCCCATTCCAAATGGGAGAAATTAGTCAAAACAAAGGGGATGCAGGCCCCATGAAAGTCTGAAACCCAGCAGGGCAGTCATTAAAACTTAAAGCTTTAAAATAATCTCCTTGTCTCCATGTTTCACATCCAGGGCATGTTAATGCAAGGGGTGGGCTCCCATGGCCTTGGGCAGTTCCTTCACAGGCTGGCATTGAGTGTCTGTGGCTTTTCCAGGTGCACAGTACAAGCTGTTGGTGGATCTTCCATTCAGGGGTCTGGAGAACAGTGGCCCTCTTCTCATAGCTTCACTAGGCAGTGCCCCAGTGGGGAATCTGTGTGGGAGCTCCAACCCCACATTTTCCTTCTGCACTACCCTAGCAGAGGTTCTCCATGATGGCTCCACCCCTGCAACCAATCTCGGCCTGGACATCCTGGCATTTCCATACAACCTATGAAATCTAGGCAGAGGTTTCCACACCTGAATTCTTGACTTCTGTGTACCCTCAGGCCCAACACCATATGGAATCCTCCAAGGCTTGGGGCTTGCACCCTCTGAATCAACAGATGAGCTGTACATTGGCTCCTTTTAGCCACGGCTGGAGCTGGAGTAGCAGCAGCTGGGACACAGGGCACCAAGTCCTGAGGTTGCCCAGAGTAACGGGGCCCTAGGCCCAGCCCATGAAACCATTTTTCCCTCAGAGGCTGCTGGGTCTGTGATGAGAAGGGCTGCCATGGAAGTCTCTGATACGCCCAAGAAAAATTTTGCCATTGTTTTGGCTACTGTAATAACATTTGGCTTCTTGTTATTTAGGCAAATTTCTGTAGCCAGCTTGAATTCCTCCCCTGAAAAATGGGTTTTTCTTTTCTACTGCATGGTCCGGCTGCAAATTTTCCAAACTTTTATGCCCTGCTTCCATTTTAAACATAAGTTCCAATTTGAGATAATGTTTCTCAAATTAAAAGTTCCACAGATCTCTAGGACAGGGGCAAAATGCTTCCAGTCTCTTTGCTAAGGCAGAGTAACAGTGATCTTTGGGCTCTAGTTCCTAATGAGTTCTTGTCCATCCAAGACCACCTCAGCTTGGACTTCACTGTCTATATCACTATCAGCATTTTGGTCAAAACCATTCCACAGGTCCCTAGGAAGTTTCAAACTTTCTCACAACTTCCTGTCTTCTTCTGAGCCCTCCAAACACTTCCAACCTCTGCCCGATACCCAGTTCTAAAGTCACTTCCTCATTTTCAGTATCTTTATAGCAGTGCCCCACTCCCAGTACCAATTTACTCTATTAGTCTGTTCTCACACTGCTATAAAGATACTACCCAAGACAGGGTAATTTATAAAGGAAAGAGGGTTAATTGACTCATAGTTCTGCATGGCTGGAGAGGCCTCAGAAAACTTACAATCATGGTGGAATAAAAGCAGTTGGCTTCTTCAAAAGGCAACAGGAGAGAATGAGTGTGTCTAGGAGAAATTTTCAAACACTTTTAAAACCATCGGATCTCATGAAAACTTACTCACTATCATGAGAACAGCATGAGGGAAACTGCCTCCAGGATCCAATCACTTCCCACCGGGTCTTGCCCTTGACACGGGAGGATCATGAGGATTACAATTCAAGATGAGATTTGGGTGGGGACACAGCCAAACAATATCAGTACTAGACAGAATTTTATGTGCTACACTTTTATATAACTGGCAATGAAGTAGGTTTGTTTACACCATCATTGCCACAAACAGGTGAGAAATATGTTAGACTATGATGTTAAGACAGCTCAGCTGCAATGTCACTAGGTAATATTCATCTCCATTATAATCTTATGGGACCACCATGATATATGCAGTCTACTGCTGAGCAAAACATCGTTATGCAGTGCATGATTGTACATGATTTTGTTTGGTTTTATTAATTGCACTGGTTAAAATAATATATGTGTAATGTCAAGATCTACTGTTAATGATGTTTTACCTCTTTGAGTGAAGTGTAGAAAACTTGTTTCCATATGAGTCTCTTTACTATCACTACTTTTTAGATATAATTATCTTAAATACTTCCTCTATGTTCCTTGAGCATCTAACCAGATAGGTCATTAATTTTTGCTTCAACTATTAGAAATGGCTTAAAAACTTAAGAGAAGTTTGATTATACATTATATTTATGCTTAATTTTACCCATTTAGATGGATGTTTGTAAAAGCTGCAAACCTTCTTCTTTTATCATTTCTTTTCTGTTTAGAGAACTTAT
The DNA here is from genome assembly GCF_000001405.40 of Homo sapiens. NCBI lineage: Eukaryota > Metazoa > Chordata > Mammalia > Primates > Hominidae > Homo > Homo sapiens. The sequence goes on from NW_025791777.1 coordinate 944,162, forward strand.
TCTTTAAAGGTAAGTTTGTTAGCAACACATTACCTTAGCATTCTTTCATTAGACAATGTTTTCTATGTCACTTTAGTGCCTGAAGAATATTATTGCTGGGTATTGAATTTACAGTTCACAGTTCTGTTCTTTCAGTACTTCAAAAATATTATCTGTTTCCTTCCAACCTTCATGGTTTCAGATGGAAAATCTGCTGTGGTTTACATTATTGTTTTTCTGTAAGAAATGTGCCATTTTTCTCTGTTTGCTTTCAAGATTTTTAATTTTTTTTTTTCATTTCCAGAAATTGAATGTATTTGGGTGTATTCTATTTAGGGTTTGCTCTGTTTCTTGAATATTTAGGTTTATGTCTTCCATCTAATTTGGGAAGGTTGAAGTCATTATTTTTTAATAGTTTTTTAGTCCCACATTCTATCTCCTCGTCTTCTATATCTCCTGTGATTATGAATGTTAGCTCTTTTATTATTGTTCTAAAGTTTCCTGAAATGCTGTTAAATTTTTTTTTATCGGTTTTCTTCTTCTTGTTCAGACAGTAAATTCTGTTGGCATGTTTTCAGATTCACTGATTCCATCTTCTGCTCTGTGCTCTCTTCTTTTGTGACCATCCTCTGCATCTATTATTTCCATTATTGTATTTTAATTTTATTTAGTTCATGTTTATTTTTTATAACTTATAAGTCATTATTGAATTTATTTTTAATTTTAACTTTTATTTGTTCCAAGAGAATACAATATATAATTGCTTATTTAAACACTTTTATGATGGTTTCTTCAAAATCCTTGTTAGATAATTCCAACCTCTTTTTTTTTTTTTTTTTTTGTCTGAAACAGTCTCACTCTGTTACCCAGGCTGGAGTGCAGCGGTATGATCTTGGCTCACTGCAACCTCCATCTCCCAGGTTCAAGTGATTCTCCTGCCTCAGCCTCCCAAGTAGCTGGGATTACAGGCATGTGCCAATGCACCCAGCTAACTTTTTATATTTTTAGTAGAGGCGGGGTTTCACCATGTTGGACAGGCTGGTCTTGAACTCCTGACCTCAAGTGATCCACCCATCTTGGCCTCCCACAGTGCTGGGATTACAGGTGTGAGCCACTGCGCCCAGCCCCAACCCCTTTTTTATGTCTGTGTTGGTGTCTGTTGTCTTTCTCTCATTCAGGTTATGATTTCCTAGTTCTTTTGTCTTATAAGTGATTTTTATTGTGTCCTGAATTTTTTTTTATATTATGAGAATTTTTCTCTCTTATTATTTCGTAGATGGTTCCCTATTGATGTGTAACCTGAGAGCTGGGTGGGTGTGCGTGTTTATCTTCCTGATGGGACCTACTAATACCATCCTACCAAAAGTAGAGTACTAACTTATACTTCCTTCTTGCAGACTGGTTAGGTGGAAGTTTGTCTTCTCCCTCCACCCACTGGCAACCTCATGGCAAAAGTAGGGTACTGAGTTACATATCTTTGTTTCCTCCAAGTGAAAAAATAACCTCACTTCCCTGATGTGGTCCACTGACACCAGGGAGGGGGTGAGTAGGGGCCAACTCATACCACTTGGTTGCTTCCAAGGAGTAGGAGTGGGGAGAAGCTGTGTAAGAACAGAACTGATCATTAAAGACCCTATTATAAATTCTTGCTTTTATAGTACTTATTCTCGTGGCTTAAATATTCCACACCAATTAATCACCACGGAATATATGAGACATTATATTAATTATTAAATTTTACATGGCAACACTAACAATATTAACTCCCATTTTCTATCTCTTTAATTGAGGTCATTCTTTAGAAGTTTAAGTATAATCCATTCTTCTGTCCTACACGACTGAGTGAAATAGCATGTAGCAGCAACATATAGTACCAGTATGTAATCCTAATGCAATGGCACACCCCAGATGACCCTTTTGTGTATTGGGATTGACCATGGTTTTTCAGTTTAATCAAAGTTTAATTGATTAAACTCGGGGTTCACATTTTCTTTCTACACACCAATATTGAAGAGAAGTACTACAAAATACATAGGAGCACTAAACTGGTAGTAATAAGAAAAACATAAAATATTTAAGATAATGTGTTGCTTTTATTTCTAATATTAGCTACTGATACAATCAAAGCACTGCGGCTCAGTTTTCTCTTTTGTAAGAGGACAAGTTTGTATTAGTTAATCTTTAAATGTCTCTACAATCTGATTCTGAGATTGTGAATAAATAGATCTAAATACTGTTACAGGTATATAAATACAGATATAAATGCAGGTATGGGTAAAATTATGGCTATGGGTCCCAGCCTTAAATTCTTATTTTTTTATAACTAATTGATGTTCAGGGATAGATTTATGTGATCTGCTCATTTGCAGGGGCCCATCACTTGGCTAATTCTTTGGTGTCATTCGTATCAAGTTTTAAATAATTTTTGAGTAAGATGTCCTATATGTTAATTTTGCACTGAACACTGCAAATTTTGTAGCTGTTCCTGTTAATTTGTTAATGAAATTTCTCTTTAGAAACTATTAAATTAATAAGACAATAATTAAGCAAATAATTATTAAATTTTACATGGTAACACTAGCAATATTAACTCCCATTTTCTATCACTTTAATTCAGGCCATCCTTTAGAGGTTTAAGTATAATCCATTCTTATGTCCTACACAACTGAGTGTGTAGTACCAGTATGTAATCCTAATGTAATGGCACACCCCAGATGACCTTTTTGTGTGTTGGCATGGTTTTTCAGTTTAAGCAAAAGTTTAATTGATTGAAACTTGAAGTTCACATTTTTTTTTCTACACACCAATATTGAAGAGAAGTCCTACAAAATACTTATTCTATGGAAAAAAACAAAGTCCACTTTAGATCTAAAATGGTTGCATAAAATTTTGAGAATAACTTAAATGTTATATGAATGTAAGTAAAAATTTTACTGTAAACTTTGTAATTGCTAACTATAAACAGAAAACAAGTATATCTTATATAAAGAAATGTGTAGACTCTCTGTATTAATCCATTTTCACATTGCTATAAAGAATACCTGCGACAGGGTAATTTACAAAGGAAAGAGGCTTAATTGACTCACAGTTCTGCACGGCTGGGGAGGCCTCAGGGAACTTACAATCATGGTGGAAGGGGAAGCAGGCACGTCTTACATGGCAGCAGGGGAGAGAGAGCATGTGAAGGAGGCACTGTCAAACACTTGTAAAACCATCAGATCTCATGAGAACTCATTCACTATCATGAGAACATCTAGGGGAAACTGTGCCCATGATCCAATCACCTCCCACCAGGCCCCTCAACACATGGGCATTATGGGAATTACGATTCAAGATGAGATTTGGGTGACAGCACAGAGCCAAACCATATCACTCTCTGTGCCTTGTATTTCTCATACTAGTCAATGCCAACTCATTAAAAGTTATCTGGAGATATAACATTTTTGGGGGATTATATATTGCCACTACTGTTATATTTTTGTCAGGATAATGTAGCAATTCCCAAATAAATCATACTTAAACCTCCACAGAAAAGATAAATAGAAATGAGAATTCCATTGCCAGCATTGCTTTGAAAAACGTTTCAGAACTTTGAATATATATACTCATAAACACACACACATACACAGATATATATTTCTGCATGTGTATATACATATATGGATACATATGTTCTTAAACTTTCTTTTAACAGAAAAATTAAAATAGAAGGAAAATAATAGAGCACTAGTTATATAACTAGTATTATATAAATAATGTTATGTAACTAGTTATATAATTAAAAATATAAGAACCTAGGTGAGAATGAGAAAATCTAGATTTAGATTTACTACTTTTCCTAATACACACCCACACACATATATGTGTGTGTGTGTGTGTGTGTGTGTGTGTGTATACTGTATTTGTCTCATAGTGGCTGGAGCACATTACTACCAACTTAGTGGATTAAAACACCACAAATCTACTATCTTACAGTTCTGCAAGTAAAGACTAAAATAGAGTCACATAGGTGAAAATCAAGAGCTTCTACTCTCTTGAGGCTGCTTGGATTCTTGGCTATAACCCCTTTCTCCATCTTGAAATTCTGTCACTCCAACCTCTGCTTTCATAACACATCTCCCATCTCCTTCCTAACTCGAAGGCATCTTCTCAGTCTTACAAGAACTCCACTTGGGTTCACATTTGGAACACCCAAATAACCCATCTTAATATTCTCATCTCTAGATCCTTAAATAATTGCTTCTACAATGTCCTTTTTGTCATGGAAGGTGACATTTTCACAGGTTCCAGAAATTAGGACGTCGACATTTTAGTAAGCCATTATTCTGTCTACCACAGTGGCCTTGAATAGAAATCCTTCAGTTTTCATATACAGAAACAAAACATTCTTCCAAATGAGGAAGCTAGATTGGGAAAAAAAAAAGTCAGCCACACAGGTCTCCCCATTAAAACTTAAAGATGGTTACATATTTTATTCTGAGTTAAAATGGAGAGTCTTCCTATATAACTCTCTTTCCACTGTATGATTTATCACTTAATAGCTCTCCCTTTCCGTTGTATGATTTGTCACTTAATATCTCTCTCTTACTTGAAGTCAGAGAACAGCAAACAGTTTGCAAAATATATAAATAGTCTATAAGTTGTGGTCCAAATAGTTCTTAGAATTCAGCTACATCTAAGTACACAATTACTTATTTAAGCTTGATTCAGTGAAACAGATTTTCAGTTGAGTTTCTTAATGGGAATGACCAGTCACATTTTTCAAATTTGGCTTTATGCATAAATTGACAAATTATTTATAATTTGAAACATCTGGGCTCATTTTTTAAAAACAACTCATAAAATAAGAAATCATTTTATTGGTTCAAGCACGCATGCTATTAAATGACTCATCTTAATTTTTATCTTTTCATAAATGTTGGAAAATCTCAAGAAACCGTTATGTTGTCCTAAAAATGGGCAAGCAAGGTTAATTTGTTTTTGATGTTTAGATAGTTAGGTTATTTCTCATTTTTCTTTTAGGGATTACGTTGCTATCCTAAAGCTTGACATTGGTTAGAGTCAGCCAATGTCAAATTTTTACCTATAGATAGTCTTAGAAAGATATTGCAAATTAGTGCTGCTTCTAGTAGCTAAAATAACCTGCAGCTAGCTGGCAGGCAGCAGTGAATATTTTAAAAGGTGTACCAAATTACATTTAGATTTTCAGTTCCTTTTGAAGTGAAAAGAATATTCAAAGCTTGGAAGTCTTTGACTCTCATAAGCCTAGTAGATTTCAAGTATAAACATAGATTTAAAGATAGTTTACAGACAAATTGTGGATTTTATGTTATAATCTCAGATTAATGATTTTTTCCTTTTTGTGATTTTTTTCCCAAAGTAATTGTAAAGGACTGTGTGTGTGTGTGTGAGAGAGAGAGAGAGAAACAGAGAGAAAGAAACAGAGATAGAGACATTGTCCAAATGTACACGTAAGATTTTCTGTGACAATTACACATGGATTATCTAGTAACAAGTTGAACTACATGAAGCAATTGTATATCATCAGATATATACTATATGAAACAACTGTGTATAATCAGATTTATACTACATGAAGCAACTATATATAATCAGATTTACACCACTTTCTGAAGAAAACTACAATTAATTGGATACTAAAGTGGTTTCTGAAAGCCTAATTATTCTCAAGTCCATATGTGTGTTTGGTGGGATGGCAGTGAGTTTTTGGAACAAGCTTAACTGTTTTTTGAAATAGTTGTGAACTTCACAAGTTAGATGAAATACATGTCACAAGAAATTTTCCATGTGGAGACAATTTAGTAGTATTTCCACATTTATGTTCAATAAGTGTAAATTATAAAATGATATTTTTGCTCAAAAATAAATGAAAATAACACATTTGAAACAAAAGTAGACTCACCCACCCTCCAGAATGATATCCAAAGACCAAAGGAAGTTTGGCCTTTTTTAGGCATTTGAGACTTGCTTTCAGTAAATCATATCATCATATTTATTTCTATAACTTTTCTTTTTTTTTGAGATGGAGTCTCGCTTTGTCACCCAGGCTGGAGGGCAATGGCGTGATCTTGGCTCAGTGCAGCTTCCGCCTCCTGGGCTCAAGTGATTTTCCCACCTCAGCCTCCCCAGTAGCTGGGATTACAGACGTGAGCCACTATGCCTGTTTATTTATTTATTTATTTTTTAAGTAGAGATGGAGTTTCACCATGTTGGCCAGGCTGGTCTAAAACTCCTGACTTCAAGTGATCCACCCACCTTGGCCTCCCAAAGTGCTGGGATTACAGGCGTGAGCCACTGGGCCCGACCTCTGTAACTTTTTATGTTACTGTTTATCATGAGTACGCACAAAAAACCACTTTTTGAATATCTTTTTCTCAGATATTTAATTATTAAGAACAAGGCAAAAATGTGTATACATTAGGTAAAAACTGCGAAAGCATGTCCAAAGAAGAAATAAAGTTCTGTAAATACTCAGAATCAACAGTTGAATAGGTATTCAGGTTTTCAGAGTTAAAAGCACAAATGCATATTTTAGTCTCTTTTCATTTTATTTTAAATATGACTATCCATAGAATGACTATTGCACAGTTTCATATAACTCCCTTATTTGTGTATTTAGTAACTGAGATTCATTATTTTTTAATTAGTACCTAAATAATTACTAGTAATCTGAAACTAATTTTCTTTTATGAGGGCAAAATGCTTTTTCTTTTAATAGGAAAAACCAAAAAGGAAGTTAGTTTAAGTATTTTTTAAATAAAAGAAATTGACAAAATAAAAAGCATGTTAAATTTAATTGTAACCCTGATGTATGTAAAACCTTTATTAAAAATATTTTTCCAAAGTTCTTATTAAGCTTTAATTAGCTATTTGTATATATTACCTTACTGGCATTTTAAAAGTATAATTATTACATATTGTGTGGAAAGATTTAAACATTCAGAAAATATAAAACTCAGTGCAACTATTTTTTCCTACTCTTCATGTATTATAATTCAGTCTTTTTGATAATTTTATATATATAGAAGGTATGATATTTATATTACATTTAAAATTTAGTACAACTTTTATTAAAGTGTACATATTATTTATACAATGCTTTTTTCTTTTCTATATCTATACAGCTTACCCATTTTTGAGAAGGCTGCATTTTTTTCTATAACATGTATATGTTGTACTTTACTTGTCTATATCCCCATTAAGAGATATGTTGCTTCCAGGTTTCATTATTATAAATACTGTTTCAGTGAACAGCTTTCAATATACATCTTTGTGCCCATGTGACAATAAAAGTATTTTTGTATGCATCTGCAAGTATAATAGTTATAGTGTCCATGCATTTTCAATTGGGTAGTTGTTTCAAAATAGCCCTACATTTTTCAAATAATTCTAATTCAAAGGACTGCTCCCCTTTCAAACCTGGTAAATATTGAAGTCCTTAATGCTTTTGCCAGAATTAGGCTGAATTGACAGAGCACTGATATGTAGAAGATATATATATATATATATATATACATGTATATTATATATATAATATATTATAAATATAATATATATATATAAAATTCTTAAAATTTAGCAAGTAACTGAACAACAAAAATGACAGATAAAAGAAGCAGGTCATGCATAGCCTATCTGCCTGAGATTTATTTAACCCTTCTTCAGAAGAGGCTTTGATTCTTGTCTCTCTGTGTCTACCTATAGACAGCATTTCTCCCAGGAAGCTTGCCCTGACCTCCTAGAATTGGTTATGTACCATTTATATATTTTTCATATTCCAATGTACATAACTCATAACAGAAATTATCACAAGGGAACAGCTGTGGTTTTATTGTTATGTCTAGCTATCCAGCTATCATCTTCACCAGACTGTAAGCTCCTTGAAGGCAGAAGCCAGATTTATCTTCATGACCTCTGTGTTTTAGATGAGGTCTCAGAGATAGAGGTCAGAATTTTCCCTCTAGGTAAATTAATTAGATTAACCTCAACTTATACAAAACAGTAGTCATTAAATTTATCCCCAGCCATCAGGAGCTTAACTACTCTGGAGAGAGAGCCAGGTGTTGGAGTAGGCAATTAAGACATCAAGACAAAAGGACATTAACAAACCTTTGAGGTTAAACTGGAAAAAGCCCTGACGGTCCAGTCCCCATCCTTTTTTTCCTTCATGAAACAGCTCTATCAAGGATCACATGGGTCAGCACAGATGTGGAGTTGTCTCACTATCAAAGGAACCCTGAACAACAGGCTCCTGCCTGCAGTTTTATGGAAGGTCAGGAAAAGGCTGGGAGCGGAAAAGCACTGAGTATTGAATCAGAAGGAAGACAATTGTCTTCAAGACTCCTCCTCCTCTCCCCATGAAAAGGAGGTCTTGGGCAAACATGCCTGGGGAAGGTCTGCCAAGGTCCCACAGTGGAGAGGCCTCCAGGGGAGGCACCAGTCAAGTGATGCTGATCTGTGTGTGAGCATGGCCCTGCAGCCCTTACTGAAACTGCCATTAGAGGACTATGCACTAGTGTGGGGAGGGCAGCTCTCCCTGTGGGACCCACTTGGTCAAGTCTTTGTCATTGTTTATGGATGGGCCCAAAAATCACATATAGGATTGAGTCTGGGGCTGAACTCTTTACTGCTCTGTCTGTATTCCCTGTCTTGGTTGACACCTAATACATGACTAAGAAACTAAGAAATCATTTTAGACGTCGTTTTTGTGTCTGTGTTTTATGCTTTGTTGGCTTGAAAACTTCATCCAATAAAACTTTAGTTATTTTTATTACCATTTCTTCCTTTATGACCCCACAGCATCCTCCATGTGCCAGGGTCCAAATCATCTTTAACCCGGACTATTGTATCAGTACCCAAATATATTCTTTCATCAAAATATATTCTTTCTCTTCTCTGGCTGTAATCTCATTCATTTCCAGGCTACTTCTTTTCAAACTAAAAAGCAAATATAATCACACTATTCTCTTTCTTCAAACACTTTCCCAATTCCTAGAGTAAAATCCCCCTTTTATAACATATAAGGCCTCAGTGACCTACCCTCAGGACTTCTTTAATTATTCTCCCATATTGTCCTATTATGTACCTGTTCCATCATCCTTACAACCCTCAGAACTCCCTAATCTGTTTTAATGCCACATTGTTATGCTCTTAATTTCCTTTGATAAAATGATTCTTTCCATTCATAAACTAGTTGATTACCACAATTTCTTAAGTATTCTATTGAAGTTTATCTTATTAGTCCATTTCACACTGCTATAAAGATACTACCTGAGAATGGATAATTTATAAACAAAAGAGGCTTACTTGACTCACAATTCCACATGGCTGAACTTATAAGTGAACTTATAATTAAACTTATAATCATGGTGGAAGGTGAAGGGAAAGCAAGGCAAGTCTTACACTGTGGCAGGTAAGAGAGAGAGCATGCAGGGGAAACTGCCACTTATAAAACCATCAGATCTCCTGAGAACCCCCTCACTATCACAAGAACAGCATAGAAAACCACCCTTTTGAGCTAATCACCTCCCACCAGGTCCCTCCCCATGACACATGGGGATTACAATTCGAGTTGAGATTTGGGTGGGGACACAGAGCCAAATCATAACATGTATCTTCTTTGCCAAGATTTTCCTTACAACGCAAAGTAGATTGACATATTTTAATTTCTTCCATCCCACCCCACCATAATATTCTTACCTCTATGACAGTGCTCATCAAAATTTGTAGCTATTATTTGTTTAAATGACTTCATTATGCTTCTTAAGAGGCATAAACTTTCTGCTATATTCATCTTTGTATGCCTGTCACACATTACATTGGCTGAGACAAGGTAAATATTTAATACATATCTATTAAATAAGAAACTTAAAAAAATAAAAGAGTGAATGAATAACTGTATCTAGGAAGTATGAAAGTGACTTATCTTTTAGCATTTTTCATCAAGGAATTAAGAAATGTGTGGGGAAAAAGTTAAGAGGCCCCAGTTAAAATGGCTTTTATCCCAAATTCAGGCAATAACAAAAGTTGGCGAGGATATACAGAAAAAGGAACCCTTGCACACTGTCAGTGGGAATGTACATTAGTATGACCCTTAAGGAGAACAGTCTGGAGGTTTCTCAAAAAGCAAAAATTGAGCTATCATATGATCCAGCAATCCCACTCCTGGGTGTATAACCAAAAGAAAGGACATAGTATATCAGAGAGATATCTGCACTCCATGTTTATTTCAGCACTACTCACAATAGCCAAAATTTGGAATCAACCTAAGTATCCATCAAGAGATGAATGAATAAAGAAAATATAGTACATATACAAAATGGAATACCATTCAGCCATAAAAAACAATGAGTTCCTGTCATCTGCTACAATGTGGATAGAACTGGAGGTCATTATGTTAAGTGAAACAAGCCAGGCGCAGAAAGACAAACTTCGGATGCTCTCACTTATTTGTGGGAGCTAAGGCTTAAAACAATTGAACTCATGGAGATAAACAGTATAAAGGTTAACAGGCTGAGAAGGGTAGTGAGGGTTTGGGAGGAAAGCGGGGCAGACTAATAGGTACAAAAACATAGTTAGAAAGAATGAATAAGACCTAGCATTTGCTAGCACAACAGGGTGACTATAGTCAAAAATAATTTAATCGTACATTTAAAAATAACTAGAAGAGTATAATCAGATTGTTTGTAACACAAAGGATAACTGTGTGAAGTGATGGATATTCAATTTACCCTGATGTGATTATTATGCAAGTATCAAAACATCTCATGTACTCCATAAATTTTCAAAAGAAGTATGTATAGCATAACGCTTAAAATAATATACTGTAATAGTCTACAACTTGGCAAGAAATTAAGCTTTCGTTTATTTTTGTCACAACAGGTATACTACATGCAGATTAAAATATATATTTTATATATATATATATATATATATATATATACCATCTATTTTTTAAGGGCATTTTTCATAACCTTGAAATATAAACAATAAAAATTATGAAGCAATAATTTATTTTTTTAAAAAAATCCACTTGCCAAACAAACAAGATACTCCTTCCAGGATGTCAGTAATATCAAGATAAAATGCCAGAGAATTTTAGCTCAGTATAGGAAATCAAACAGCTAATTTTTAACTTTGATGGAGGAGAAAATTAGATAAATTCTGAAAATTCATCCATTTATTTTTCTCTCTCCATATATGTTAACAACAAGCAAACACATTAAATCCTTAAATTTGGTTACTAAGTTCACAAATGTCATGGACACAGTGAGGTAATATTTACAGACTGAATACTGATTTACTATCCTTTGAGTTTATTTCTACATTTCATAGAGTAGATGCTCTTTATAGATAAACTCTTTTGGAAAAAGTCCAGATAACTGGATAATTAACTATTAATATCACTTTTTGAAAATTAAATAGTAATATGTTTCTTCCAGGAAAAATTATTTAACAGGTTTTATTCAGACTACTAAGACATATGAAAACCTGACATTAACTCTTTGGTTTTCTAAAGATTCTCTTCAGGAAAATATGCCATCAGTCTTTCTAAATGTATTCAATTTTATCTCAGCAGTCTTGAGCCTCCATCTACATGATGTTAATATACCTCCAAACAGCCATTCACATTTCTTAAGGTGATGAAATATGTATTACCTATAATATTCTTAACTAAGTTATTGTAAGGCATATTTATCATGCCACATAATCCTGGGCGAAAATTGGATATAATAACAATTCCCAAAAATGCCTCTTGACAAAGAGTTGGAATTCAACTTTTTTCTTCTACTGCTAAGGATGTTTGCATCATGTCTTTGGAAAAATGTATCTCATAATTGCAAAGCCCTAATTCCTGATGCTCCATTAACAATATTACTCAAGATATTGTTGCTGATGTGGCTGCTTATATTATTCCCAAGTGAATTTGTAGATATTTAGCAATAGCTGAGGCCATCTACAACGTAAATTCCTATCTATGTTACTCCTCTTGAGAATCTACTCTTGGTACATTTAGCAAAGGAAGACACTTTTAGCAACACAGCAGTCCCCCCTTACCAGCGGTTTCACTTTCCCCAGTTTTAGCTATCAGGGGTCAATCATGTTTTGAAAAATATTAAATAAAAGTTATAGAAATAATAACTTTGAAATTGTGTACCATAACGTGATAAATTCTCAGGTTGTCCATCCTACTCCCTGTTTTCTTTATCACAAAAAGAAAAGTAGATAATAATAAGGTATTTCAAGAGAAAGAGAGACCACATTCACATAACTTTTACTACAGTATATTGTTATAATAATTCTATTATTAGTTATGTTCATATAATTATTAGTAAAAGGAATATAATTATATTCCTATATAATTATAGAAGTATACTACTCCTATACATAATATATTAGTATAACTAATATAATTCTATTATCATTAGTAGTGTTAGTTTAACTAATAAACTAATAGAATTATTAAACTAATATAATTAGCCTATTAGTTTAATACTACTCCCATAATGAGTATATTAGTTTAAACAAATACTACTACTATAATAATTAGTAGTAGTTTAACTAATAAACTACTATAATTATTAGTTAAATTTCACTATGCCTAATTTTTAAATTACAGTCTATTATAAGTATGTATGTGTAGGAAAAATAGTACATGTTTACTATCCACTGTTTCAGGCATCAACTGGGGGTCTTAATACATATCTTTTTACAGATAAGGGTGGAGCTACAGTTACCTTCCAAAAGGTAGTATTGCCACTGCCATTGTTGCCTGCTAATGTAAATTCCAAAGAAGTAGATGATTTTGGGAAGGGCAGAAAATAAAAATTTTCATCAATATTAATGATTTTGCCATTAATGCAGATTACCATTGCCATAGTCTGAGAAGTGACATGAAACTTGAGATTGCTAGAGCTCATAGGACAGTAGAACAGTGAAGACATTGAGGTTTAAAGTGTTAATGTTATGAAGATAGCTAAAAACAGGACTTGATCAGTATAATCCTCTACCTAACACAACTTGGAATGGGGCAGAGAGTAAAGAAATGGACCTCGGTAAGGACGTGCATGAGCACTAAGAGATAGTGCTTGATGCAAGAGCAATAATAACAACAATAACCACAACAAAGGTATATTATTGGGAGCATTAGAGAAGAACAACAGAAAACTAAAAATGTTGTGGATGTTACCTCCAAGCAAGAAAATGGGACTAGGGACACAGGCCCTTTTTGTTTTTTGCTTGCACATTCTGTAATTAGAAAATGTTATTTTATAGACACACATATCAAATAATAGGAGAAAAAAGATATTTCATGTAAGATTAGTTTATTCTCAATATTCTGAATTAGAATATTGGATTAAAACAATATTTAGAATGATAGAAGCTGGATTAAAACAACTTTAAAACAAGCATTTGTACTGCATTGACATCTCTATACAAGTTGCTGTCATACTAGTTGAGAAGAGCTTGGGGACCTGGACTTGGGAGATTTAATGGACCGATAAAATTACTCAGAGGGGTAACCTTATAAAGAATTCTGAAACCAAGAATTTGGAAGTCTAAGAAAAGAAGGGACAACAATGCAAGTTGTCCAACCAAAACCTCTCTTCCCTACTTTCTTGTTTCTGAATGCCATTTTTGTTTGAAAGAGCAATGTGTCCTGCCAAATAACTACAATGCCCAGTCTCCTTGCCCTTGTGGCTGGTGACATGTTATAGTCCTGTAGAAACATACGTGGGCTGAAGTTCTTGAAAAGGACACTTTGTTCTTCAACTTCTCCCTTCCTGCCCTGATATAAAAACATGATAACACACTACTTATTACTCTAAATATGCATAACTTTTATATGCACTAGGAAGTGTATATATCAATACTTAGAGATACAATTTCAGAAATGGTCAAATTAAAGAAAACAAGTTAAAAGTTTACAAGTTCTTATAATAATTATAGAGGCAAGATAAATTACAGATTCAATTTTTTAAACTAGTAATTTAATTAATCACATCATGGATAATGTTTAGAGCTAAAATTTATTCTGTATTTACATAATCAATATTGTAATTAAAAACCACTGAGTATTTTTTGTTGCAACTGAATGTTGTGTCCCCTCAAAATTCATGTGATGAAAACTTAACCTTCAGTATGATGGTAGCAGGACCTATAAGCTGCATATTTATAATGAACTTTGGGAAGTAATTAGCTTATTATGGTGGAGGCTTCATAAATTAGATTGGTGCCCTTAAAAATGACTCTTGAGAGCTCTTTCTGTCCACCATGTGAAGCTGCATTGAGAAGGCAGCAGTCTGAAACCCAAGAGAGCTCTCTCACCAGAACCCAATTATGCTGGCACTCTGCTGTTGGACTTCCAGCCTCCAGAACTGTGAGATGTGCATTCCGTTATTTAAAAGCCACTCAGGTTATGGAACTTTATTAAAGCAGCCTGAACGGCTGAAGATGGAAATTGATCATGAGAAGTGGGAGTGCTGTTATTATAAATACCTAAAACAAAGTGAAAATGGTTTTGGGCTCAGTGATTGGCAGAGATTGATGAGGTTTTATGCAAAATGCTAGATTACTGTGGAAGAAATTTAAAAGCCAATTCTCGTGAGGGCTCGGAAAGAAATATAGAAGAAAACGCTGTCTTCTCAGAAAATAATTAAATAATCATGAACAGAATATTGATAAAATATGGACAGTAAAGGTCATTCTGTTGGAGTCTCAAATGGAAATGAAAATGTTATTGGAAAATGGAGCAAAAGCAATCCATGTTGAAAAGTGGAAACAAACTTCTTTGAATTGTATTCATGCTCTTGTGTTTTGCGGAAGGTGGAACTTGTGTGCAGTGAAATTGGACATTTAACCCAGCAGATTTCTCAGCAACATGTAGAAGCAGCAGCTTGGTTCCTTCTGAATCCGTAGAGTCAAATGTAGAAAAAGAAAAAGGTTTGAAGATGGAATTGTTAAGGAAAAAGTAACCATAATTTAAGATCTGGGAAATTCTCAGCCTGTCCATATTGCAAAAAAAGTGAGAAAGTGTGTTCTGAAGAGAACATGAAGAGTGTTTCGGACCCTTACTGATTTGATTAATATGGGTGTGAACCACAGGCTTAATCAAACATCTCAACACAAACCATGACTAGAAATGGGATTATACCAGGAGAAACACTGCCAGTTGGGACTAAAGGAAACAGAGATAATGGGACGAAATAAAGGAAGACATTCGGAATGCTTAAGCCCTACAGGCCCGGACCCGAGAGCTATTCAGTTGTGGATGTGTGCTATTCTCTCCTTCAAAATTACGGAAGAAGGGGCGCAAAGGGGATTTGGAGACAATTACAGCTGCTGCTTTTACCAAAAATCCAGAGGGTATGGCAAGGTGGGCCAAGGTTACCTCCATTTTGATTTCAAAGGACAGAAATGATGCTCAGAGGAGCTGTGTGGGAGGGCCATCCAGTGAAGCCCTGGGTGAGTGACCTCAGCCCTGACAAAAGACTGTGCCATAAGTGGGTCCAGTGCATAGAGTCAGCAGCGAGCAGTGCCTCACTGAGCTGTCGGGGACTGTCTGGAAGGTGAGTCATCAAGCCAAAGAGGATGCTTCTTGAACCTTAGGGTTTGATGGAGTTTGCCCTGTTAGGTTTTAGATTTACTTGGGATCCAGCATTCATATATTTTATTTTTTTCGAATAGTGGTTCTTTTTGGAATGGGAATGTTTATCCTATGCCTGTCTCACCATTGTATTTTGAGAGTTCATGTTGTTTGATTCCACAGGTTCACAGATGAAGAGAAATTTTGTGAGAATGAACTGTACCGTGAAGCTCACCTGCATCTGATTTAGGTAATATTTAAATAAGACCTTGGACTTTAGACTGGACTTGAGGCTGGAATGAGTTAAGATTTGTGGATTTGTTGGAATGGAATGACTGCATTTTGCATGTGAAGACATGAATTTTGGGGAACCTGGGGCAGAATGTTACGGACTGAATTTTTAAAGTGTACCCTCAAAATCTGTATATTGAAATCGTAACTGTCAATGTAATGGTATTAGTAGTGGGACCTTCAGGAGGTAATTAGGTTGTCATAGTAGAGGCCTCATGAATAGGCTTAGTGTTCTTATAAAAGGGACCTAAGAGAGCTCTCACTTCTTTCCCCATGTGCTTATACAAAAACCCAACAGTCTGCAACCGCAAAAGGGCCCTCCCCAAAACCAGAACATCCTGGCACTCTGACTTTGGACTTCCAACCCCTAGAACAGTAAGAAATACTTTTTTTGTTATTTGTAAGCCACTCAATCTATGGTATTTTGTATAGCAGCCCAAACTAAGACACTCCTCTACACTACAGTGTACACCACATTCTTCTGCCTCTTGGTATGCTTCAGTCACATTGAACTATATTTTGTTTACTAAACATGGCAAATTTATTACTGCACTATGGTTTTGCCATATAATTTTTCCTGTCTTTTCAAACAGAAATTATTTCACAGCATACGCAGCTATAGGCAATTATCTAGCTTATGTATAAAATTACTTTCCTGATATTTGTCTCATTTTTTGTTTTTAAATGTTTTAAATAAACAAATAATAATTGTTTTGAGGGGTACAGTATTATGTCTTCGTATATATTTATATTGTGGAATGATTAAATCAAGCTGCTTAACACATCTCTTATGTCACATATTTATCTTTTTGTTGTGAGAACACTGAAAATAGACTTTTTAGCAATCGAAAAAAGGCAAACCCTTAAAAGTAGAGAGTAGAATGCTAGTTAATGCTGGAGGCAAGGGATAGGGAATGGGGAGATGTTGTTCACAGGGTACAGTTTCAGTTAGACACAAAGATTGAGTTTTAGAGATTGACTTTATAGCAGAGTGACTATATTTAAAAATGACTTCTTGTACATTTCAAATTTTCTATTTAAAATACACGTAGTATCTGTATTCCCAGTTCTTAAAACATGACCTATTAAATAACAGATTTGCAAGACTGAATGATTTTTTTTTACCTTGTCCTGATCTCGATTTTTTTTAAACTTTATCTCATTAATTGCTAATTCTCTCTTTATGAATGTTAAATACTTAAAATAGCACCAAACATAACAAAACAAAACAAAAACAAAATTTGTTTTTTATTTCAAATGGCATGTTCCATTGCGTTCTAAGACTGGACTGTCTTGGAGATAAAGGAGACTTCATTATTTTATGTAATATTCCTTTGAGAAATCCTGAGCTTTGTGCAAAAATGACATACTTCATTTTTTTTTTGCATAATTTTGTCACTCCATAGAGCCCAGATCGAGTTCCTAAGTTCTCACTAAGGCACATGGGTCTAATTCCATTACATTTTTGGCCTGTGTCAATTAATTTTCTTTTCTCAGATAATAAATTTACACTCCTATTCCACTTCTGAGCAGTTAGACATTTTCAGCATGGAACATTCTATTAAAATGAAATGGCAAATTGCCTTGTAGCACACACATTTTCAAAGAATGTTTTGTCTGATAATGTAGTTCTTATGAGTTTCTTTCCAAAGTAATCCATTTACACAAAATACATTATTAATTTTGTGCATTTACAAACTACACATAATTTCAAAGTGATGTCATTGTTCCACAAATACATCTAGGTTTCAAAGTGACTGATTAAATTCTGTTTAAAATTTTGCACAGAAGTGCAGTATATAATCACATTTTATATCCCTCTGTGCAGGATATAGTTTTCTAAATCATACTCCGTTGTCAGGAGCATGTTCATCTTCCATACAGAACACACTGACTGAAAATAAGATCAAGTCTACACATTTGGGATATAAATTTTTGAGATTACTGCTCTTGGTATAATATATCTCTCTTGTACTTGAGCCTCTAGATCTTGCTGTTTTTAACACTTTTGTGCTCGCAAGATTTACGCTTCTGTATACTTTGTTTATATTCAGCAGCTAAGTATATTTTGTCCTGTTATCATGACTCAACCTGTGATTTGTTTCAAAAGTACAAGTAAGATTTTAAACATAATTATAGTGTAATCTCTTTAAATTTTGCTGCATTATCACTCAGAATGAGAAAAATATAAATTAAAAGTGTGTGCACATGTATACACATTGTTCAATATACAAACTTAGGTATCATGTTAGATTCATCACGATTTGAAAATGAAATCTGATTATAATACTTGCAAGATGACTTACAAGTTAATATTTATATGTACACTTACAATTTTTATAATTTTTAAAACCATCCAATATGTTAGTTTTCTTTGATTTCTAATGATAACAGTAGAAATATCTGGCCCTGGTTATCACATCTGGTTGTTATGATCAATAGAAACGATATATGCAAAAGCAAATACATTTTAAAACTTTTTAATATTAATTTTTATTGTTACATATTCTGAATAATGCAGTTTTATAGTTATTATTATAACATGACACAAATGGTAGAGATTTTGATGCCTACATTTTTAATAAAAATGTTCAAAACCATATTTCACAAGATGTATCATGCTGTAAGGTTGCAACAGCCCTCTCAAATAGAGTTCTGCCTTTCTCTTGCCATTTAAACTAATGCTATCTGAGAGTGCAACAGAAGGCCCTCATTACATGCTGGTATCTTGATCATTGACTTCCTTGCCTACAGAACTATCAGAAAATAATTTTCTATTTTTTATAAATTACCCAGTCTCAGGTATTTTGTTACAGCAGCACAAAACAGACTAAGACATAAAGTGTAAAATTATCCTTCCATATTGCTGCAAGTGAAATGATTTTATTTTTTATAGCTGTGTAGTATTCATTGTGCGTGTATGTGTGTGTATATATGTATATATGTATATCACATCATTTTCTTTATCCAGTTATTTGTTGATGGACACATGTTGATTCAATATCTTTGGTATTATGAATATTGCTGCTATAAATAAATGAGTGCAAATATCTTTTCTGGTATAATGATATTTTTTCTTTTGGGTATACACCCAGTATAGGATTGATAGAGTGAATTGTGGCTCTTTAATACTTGAAAAAATTTTCATACTGTTTTAATAGAGGTGGGACAAATTTACATTCCTTCTAATTATACTATAAGGCTATAGTAACAAAAACAATATGATAGTGATATAAAAATGGACACAATACTCAATAGAGCAAAATAGAAATTCCAGGAATAAAGTGACAAAGGCACTTTGTCACTTTATTAGTGGATATTTATAAAGGGACCTACCTACAGTCAATGGATGTTTGACAACATTGAAAAAAACATACACTGGGAAAAGGATATCCCCTTCAATAAATAGTGCAGGGAAAATTGGAAAGCCACATGCAGAGGAATAAAACTGGGCCCCTATCTGTTGCCATCCACAAAATTAACTCAGGATGAATTAAAGAATTAAATATAATACCTGAAGATATAAAAGTACTCATAGAATACCTGGAAAAACTCTTCTAGACATTGGCCTTGGCAAAAAATTTGTGACTAAGACCTCAAAAGCAAATTTAGCAAAAACAAAAGTAGACAAATGGGACTTAATTAAACAAAAAAGTTTCTGCACAGCAAAAGAAATAACTGAGAAAACAGATAACCTGAAGAATGTGAGAAAATATTTGCAAACTATGCATCCAACTAAGTACTAATATCCAGAATCGACAAGAAATTCAAACAACTCAACAACAACAACAAAATAGATAACCCCATTAAAAAATGGACAAAGTACATAAACAGGCATTTCTCAAAAGAAGACATACAAGTGGACAGCAAACATATGAAATAATGCTCAGTCTCATCATCAGAGAAATAAAAATTAAAACCACAACGAAATGTCACCTTATACTAGTCAGAATGGCTAGTTTTTAAAAGTCACAACACATCAGGTATTGATGAGAATGCAGAGAGAAGTGAGTGAATCCTTATATAGTATAGGTGACATTTTTATTTATAGAATATCAAAATAGTTACTTAAAATTCATTTGAATTATAAAATATTAAAATGTAGATTTATGAATACTTTGTACTTTCTAAAAGTTTAACCACAATAAAAATCCAAACTACCACTGTTGTGTCCATAATAATTCATAATTGTATGTGATGATGTTGAGAAATCTTCCTAAATATTAGGATGAGTCCCTCATTTATTTTAATGAAAATATCATTCTTAAAAGCATGTCAAGGAATATAGCTCAATAATTCAACAAATAACATTTGCAAATTGATAATCCATGGTTCAAAGATGTCAAGATGAACTCAAAGTCTACAGGGATACCCTTTTGATTCAAGGAAATAATGTTACCCTAAATGAGAGAAGATAGGGAAGACCATGTCAAATGAATCACTTTTTGATGTGGTTTGGCTGTGTCCCCACCCAGATCTCATTTTGAATTTTAGTTCTCATAATCCCCATGTGTCATGGGAGGCACCTGGTGGGAGGTAATTGAATCATGAGGGCGGTTACCCTCCGTGCTGTTCTTGTGATAGTGAGTGAGTCTCACAAGATCTGATGGTTTTATAAGGGGATTCCACATTTGCTCGGCTCTCATTCTTCTCCTTCCTGCTGCCATGTGAAGAAGGACTTGATTGCTTCCCCTTCCACCATGATTGTAAGTTTCCTGAATGTTCCCCAGCCGTACGGAACTGTTAGTCCATTAAAGTTCTTTTCCTTATAAATTACCCAGTCTCGGGTATTTCTTCATAGCAGCATGAGAACAGACTAATACACACTTCAATATTGATTTACATTTCTATGATCATCAGTGATCTTGAGTATTTTTTAATGTTTGTTGGCAACCTGCATGTCTTCTTTTGATAAATGTTTGTTTATGTCATTTGCCTACTTTGTAATGACATAATGTGTTTATTACTTATTGGGTTCCATGTAGATTCTGGATATTAGTACTTCGTTAGATGCATAATTTGTGAATATTTTCTCCTGTTCTGTAGGTTGCCTGTTTACTCTGTTGATTATTTCCTTTGCTGTGCAGAAGATTTTTAGTTTACTTAGGTCCCATTTGCCTATTATTATTTTTGTTTCATTTGCTTCTGATGACTTAGTCATAAATTCTTTGTCAAGGCTGATATTCAGTAAAGTTTTCCTAGGTTTTCTTCTAGGAATTGTATAGGTTTTTACATTTGAGTATTTAATCAATCTTGAGTTAATTTTTATATATGGTGAGATACAGGAATCCAGTTTTATTCTTGTGTATACGGATATCCATTTTTTCTAGTACAATTTATTGAAAAAGGTATCCTTTCCACATTGTTTATTTGTGCACGCTTTGTTGAAGATTAGTTGGTTGTAGGTATGTGGCTTTATTTCTTGGTTCTCTATTTAATTTTATTAAACTATGTATCTGTTTTTGTATTGGTACCATGCTGTTCTTGTTACTATAGGTTTGTAGTATAATTTGAAATGGGGTGAAGTGCTGACTCCAGCTTTGTTCTTTTTGCTTAGAATTGCTTTGGCTATCTGGGTCATTTTTTCAATTCAGAATTTCATATACACTTTGGGATTGTTGTTTTCTAATTCTGTGAAAAATGACATTGGTAGTTTGATAGAAATTGCACTGAATCTTTAGATTGCTTTGGACACCATGGTCATTTTTAATTTTTTTTAATCCATGAACATGGGATATTTTTCCATTAGTTTGTTTTATTTCAGGTTTCTTCCACCCATCTTTTGTAGTTCTTATTGTAGAAATATTTTACCTCCTTGGTTAAACGTATTTCTCAGTTATATGTGTGTGTGTGTGTGTGTGTGTGTGTGTGTGTGTGTGTGTGTGTATTGTAAATGAGATTGAGTTCTTGATTTTGTTCTCAGCTTGAATATTATTGCTATATAGAAATACTACTGACTATTGGACATTGACTTTGTATTCTGAAACTTTATTGCAGTCATTTGCCAAGTCTAGGAGTCTTTCAGAGTCTTTAGGGTTTTCTTTGTATAAGACCATGCCATCTCTTAATGTAACTTCTATCCCAACTTTTGTGGTAATTTTTTTCTTGCATTTTTCATAATTTTATTTTCTAATTTGTTTATCCAGAAATACCATTTAGTTCTGTTTGGTATTAGACTTGAAAACAGTGCAAATTTTCTTTCTTAATAAATAATGAAAATAAATTTCGTTTTTGAAATTCATCCATGTTTTTGCTTAGTTCATTCATTTTTACTGATGTATTGAGTAGTCTTAAGTTACCAATTTCATTTTTAATAGTTATGCTTTTTCCAAAAATTTTATAATAATTAGTAGTTTTATCATGACTATTCCTATATACATATTCATATAAATGCATAACCAAGAGTGCAATTGCTCATTTGGAGGGCATGCCATCTTTAGCACTATGACTATTAAATAAATTGTTTGCATTGATTAAGAGAGTGATATTCCACATCATCACCAGGACTGTGGATTGTCAGACATTTTAAGTAACTGTGGCTCCCCATACAGGATAACTTGGTTAAACTTGCTATTCACTTGGCATCCCTAGCATTATATTATTGTCATCATAAGAATGGAACCCAAAGTTCTGGAGTTTTTAATCAATTATTAAACAACAATTAATCGAATAGCGTGTAAGTTCCTAACCTTGTGCTAGCCGTTGTCCTACGTTTGTGATAAGAATAGATAAAGTGCCCTTCTACCTAGCAGTTTAGACAATAAACAAGGAGAAAAGAAATTAAATGTGTATTGTATGATAGCAGGTTAGTGATAATCACTAATAATCCAATGAGTTTATATGATACCAAAATATTGATTAGATCAGGAAATCACTGCTAAAGAGGAAACATTATTTATCAGTATGTTTATAACAGATGGAGCAATGAGTATAAAAGTCATGTGTTAGGGTATGCAAGATGATGATATAGAGCAGAGTAATCAAGGCAAAGGATAATGGTAGGTGGAGAAGCCAGCTTATAGTTCTGAGCAAGATTATATCTTTAGCTTTTATTAGGCATGTAAATGAAATACTTTTGAGATTTTCAGCTGGAAAAATGAAACTAATGTGAAATGCATTATATTGCCAGAGATGACTTCCATTGCCTGGTGGGGAAGAGACTGGAGGAAGGATGGATAATGGCAGCACACAGATGCTGCTGAGAAGCTATTTTAGTAGTTCATGTAAGAGACAATTGTCAAATTTGCAATAAACTTCCAGGTGAAATGGAATTGACTTTCTAATGGCTTGGAATGGTGTATATAAAACAGCTGGTAATGACTCCATGTTTTGAAGCTTTAGAAAATAGATTAATAATGGCTCAAATTACTGAGTGAAAAATTACTGGGAAAGAAGCAGGATTGGCAGGATGCAGATAAAGAATTCTCTTTTACTTACTAAGGTTGAGATGCCTATTTGATATTCAAGGCAGTCGCAAATGAGATGAGTGTTCAGGAATGAGATATCAGCTAAAGATATAAATTTTAGTCTTGTGCCCATATCTTAGCTGCAAGGAAGGATTTTATGAACTGCTGGTGAGACTGTAAATCAGTGCAATCAACGTAGACAAAGAAATAAATGCATACACCATGTCATCTTGTAATAACTCCCAACCCCCAACACCTAAAGAAGAGACTGTGTGTTTAAGTTGGGAGTGTATTGTGGAGTAAGAATAAGAAACAGGATGGGTGCTATAGGGAGAGAGAGTAAAATCTAGAACACATTATTAAGTTAGGTGATGGAATACTATATGACCATTCACTGAAGTGAAACAACGGGGGAAATATGTATCCATCAGCTCTAGGAGTTCCATTTTTCAAGCATAGCCTCATGGATGCTAACTTCTCGATGTGTCTAGACAGTGCATTTATGAGTAACAAGCAAAATGCCTACAACAATCCACACAACATTGTCTGAGAAATCCCACAGCAGAAAGTGAATTCTTGCTCTGGTCTGAAGCCACATACTATCACTTCCATCTTTATGAAACTGACCAAAGTCTACATAAAAATAGTAACCAAGGCTCTGACTGGAACAAGAGGTAATGCTGAGAGGGTCTGCAGTGATGTAAGATCCAATACACCCTATGATTTTTAAATTTTGTTCCTGGGTTTATATCCTAGAGAAACTCTGACATATATATGTGTATATATATATACATTCATATATATACACATTTAATATATATATACACACATACACATTCATAGCAGCTTTTTGTTGAAATAGCAAAAAATGAGAAAAAAACTAAATGGCAATATAATGAACAAAAGGGAGCTGTGTTTTGATATTTTTATATAGTACAATGCTAAACAGCATTTAAAATAATTGATAAGAATTATATGGGCCAACATAGATGGACATCATCAATGTCATATAAAACAAAATAAAGCAGAAGGTAGATAGACACTTTTTTTTTGAGTCGGAGTTTTTGCTCTGTTGTCCAGGCTGGAGTGCAGTGGCGTGGTCTTGGCTCACCGCAACCTCCGCCTCCCGGGTTCAAGCAATTCTCCTGCCTCAGCCTCCTGAGTAGCTCGGATTACAGGCACCCTCCACCACGCCTGGCTAACTTTTGTATTTTTAGTAGAGACAGGGTTTCACCATGTCGGCCAGGCTGGTCTTGAACGCCTGACCTCAGGTGATCCACCCACTTAGGCCTCCCAAAGTGCTGGGATTACAGGCATGAACCACCACGCCCTGATGATAGACACGTTTTTAACTTCTAAAAATATATGATCATGATTGTGTCTGTGGAGACTTGCACATATACTAAATTTTAAACAATTAGAGATATTTGTTCATTACCACATTTTGGGAGTCATTATTTCCTCTATGAAGAGAGAAAGGAATTTGATACAAGTTCACAGGGGCTTCCAGTAGATTGAGACTTTTATTTCTAGCTGAGCTGCTGATGTATGAATTTTTTTTGTTATTATGACTTTCATATGTATTAAAAATAAAATGAAAAAACAAGGATTAGGTGAGGAACCTATACGTCTCTAATATGCAAAATACCACAGAAATAATGACTGTTGGGAAATTAGGCCTTAGCTCTGATGTTTGAACCATCCCCTCAATGTTTCCCAGTGCTTCTTAGAGTATTTTGATCACCTCTGTGTTGGTGCTTTAGAACTAGAGAAGAACGTTTTGTTAACTTTTTTTTTTTTTTTTTTTTTTTTTTTTGAGACAGAGTTTCACTCTTATTGCCCAGGCTGGAGTGCAGTGGCACAATCTCGGCTCACTGCAACCTCTGCCTTCTGGATTCAAGCGATTCTCCTGCCTTGGCCTCCAGAGGAGCTGGGATTACCTGCCACCACATCTAGCTAACTTTTTGTATTTAGTTGGTCGGGCTGGTCTTGAACTCCTGACCTCAGGTGATCCACCCATGTCAGCCTCCCAAAGTGCTGGGATTACGTGTGTGAAACACTGCACCTGGCCTTTTGTTAACTTTTAGTTTAAGTTCAGCAGTACACGTGCAGGTTTGTTATACAGGTAAACTCGTGTCATGGGGATTTGTTGTACAGGTTATGTTGTCACCCGGGTATTAAGCTTAGTACCCATTAGTTACTTTTCCTCAACCTCTCCGTTTTCCCACCCGCTACTCTCAGGTAGGTCCGAGTGTGTGGTGTTCTCCTCTATGAGTCCATGTGTTCTTATCACTTGGCTCACATTTATAAATAAGAACATGCTGCATTTGTTTTTCTGTTCCTGCGTTAGTGGGAGCTGAGGATGGGTGGAGCTGAGGATAATGGTCTCCAGCTCCACCCATGTTCCTGCAAAGGACATGATCTTGTTCTTTTGTATGGATGAATACTATAAAGTCTTCCAAACTGTTTTGGTTTTGGTTTGTTTTCTTTCTTGAGAAAGGAAAGACAAAACAGAAATAAAAGAGTAGGCCGAGCGGGGTGGCTCACGCCTGTAATCCCAGCACTTTAGGAGGCTGAGGCAGATGGATCACTAGGGGTCAGGAGTTTGAGACCAGCCTGAACAACATGGTGAAATCCCGTCTCCACTAAAAATACAAAAAATCAGTCAGGCATGGTGGCACATGCCTGTAATTCCAGCTACTAGGGAGGCTGAGGCAGGAGAATCGCTTGAATCTGGGAGGCAATGGGTTGCAGGGTGTGCTGGGATGGCACCACAGCCTGGGTGAAAGAGTGAGACTCTGTCTCAAAAAAAAATAATAAAATAAAAAAGGGAGAGAGAAAGAGTACCAATGTATGGCAGAAATCAAGAGAAGAGTTTGCTTTTTTGAATAACTACACCCTGGACATTAGTTTCAAGAAACCGTCTGCTGGAAATATAACTATATGTTTAAGTTGACGGATCATTATTACACGTAGCAGAAAGAAAGTCACTCCTTGCTAGAAAGCCCTGTGTAGGTCATTAGGCATCACAGTGTGGAGTTATCTAAGCAAGCACCAAGGTAGGATATCTGAATAACTGATTTATTTCCATGTTTACTGACAATATTCATTGCAACAAGTCAGTAGAGAAACAGTAAAGAGGGCAGGCATGGCTATGCTTCTATAGAATCTAGTGAAGAGGAGATAATTTCAAATAACCCAAGAAGGTAAATGAGTAGTCAAATTTTCAAAAGGACTATTAACTCACAAACAGGAAACTATAATAGAAAATAGTTGGTTGAAGGCAGAATGCCCAGTTCAGAAAAGATTCCTCTGAAAAGCAATATATAAGCATAGACTTCGAGGATGAAGAGTCACTCATTTTGAAAGAGCAGATGAAGAAAGTTTCAGGACAAAGAAACAGCCATCTGCAAAGACCTCAACAAAGATATCACACAGAAAATGCTGTATTTAATCTGTTGCTAGACAAAAGTGAGCTACGGATCACATGGTCTTGGATGAGGGAGACAGATGATATAGTTTGGATGTCCCGCCCAAATCTCATGTTGAAACCAGATCCCCAGTGCTGAAGGTGGAGCTTGGTGGGAAGTGTTTGGATCATGAGGTCGAATCCTTCGTGACTTGGTGCTGTCTCCATGGTAGTGCACCTACCCCAACACACTCTCTCTCTCTTGTTCCTGCTTTCACCATGTGAAGTGCCTGCTCCTGCTTTGCCTTCTGTCATGAGTAAAAGCTCCCTGAGGCCTCTCCAGAAGAAGATGCCACTGTGCTTCCTGTACAGCCTGCAGGACTGTGAGTCAATTAAACATTTTTATAATATCCAGTCTCAGATATTTCTTCATAGCAATACAAGAACAGCCTAATATAACAGATAAGCAGGGACTAAAGTCATCAAAATTAGAATTGTGCATTTAATTTTGATTGCATTTAATTTTCATTGCATTTAATTTTGATTGCATTGAAAAGGCAGATGCTTTGAGGCTAGAATGAGGTAATAACTGTTTTGTTTTGTTTTGTTTTGTTTGCTCTTAACAAATTAGTCTGACTTCAGTCCATAGTAAATTGGAGAGGAACTGGTAGAACATAAAAGAACTGGTAAAAAGCCATTGTAAACACTCAAGTTTCAAAAACAATTTTGTGGTAAGGGCAAATCCTCAGGTCAAGAAAAGTGTGTTACTAAATTCCGTTAGTTTCCAGAAGAAAGATAAAGTCATATGACACAGATTTTACTCCTTACGTTAGAGAGTGTGCTAAGGATACCACCCACATTTTCCAACATTTATTTCCATCATGTTTTATGATCTTCATCTATATTCCATCCTCGTTATTTCTAGCAAGTCTATGAAATTTCTTACATTAATAGAAATAATGTATTAATATTCAGCAATGTGCTAAACATTGTTGAAACATTGTCTCAATATTACTCTTGGAAGAGCTCTAAGGTAGACAATATTTCCAATATATGAGTCATGAGGAAACTGAGGAATGGAAAGATTAAACAACTTGTTGAGGGTAGCATAATTGTAAATGGTGAAGACATAATACAAATCCTAATATCTATGACTCTAATGCTTTAAAAAATCATTATATACACTACGCTGTCTCTGATGTGTGAATCTACCCACTTCTAATTCATTATAACAAGTATTTGTTGCCAGGTAGCATTCCGGGCTTTGGGGATACATCTTTGGAAAAGCTTACAGAAATCTCTGTCCTCAGGGAACTAATATTCTAGGGACTATACAATAAACAATAAGCAAAAATGTAACATGTATAGTGTGTTAGACTGTAGTAAGTACAATGGCAAAAAATTAAGAATGGAGAATGTCTAAGGGGACAGATTGTTTGGAATTTGAATAAAGTGGCTATGGAAAACCTCACTGGGATAATGGCATCTGACCAAAAGCATGAGGAAGATATAGAACAAACCGTATCTGTTGCATGTTTAGTAATAACCAAGAAAATACTGTACGTGAAGCTGAGTGAGAAAATTACATAGTGGAAGGAGGGAAGTCCATAGAAGAATTGGGGGCTTCATGTGGTGGAGCATCTATAAAGCATTGTGCAAGACTCTGACTTTTACAATGAATGAAACGAGAGATCAGAGTTTTACACAGAAAAAGGTAATAACCTGATACATGTTTTAAAGTGATTATACAAATTGCTCTTTTGAGGATGTACTGAAGGGTGCCTTACGCAGAATCAGAAACACCTGTTTGCTGGCCATTTCAATAACCTGGGCAATAAATGATGGTGGTTAGCACCAGGATGCTAGTGGTGAAAGTAGCAAAAATGATCAGAATTGAGCTGCATTTTGAACATACAGTTAATAAGTTCTGTGGCATGACAGAAAAATGATTCCATAATATTTCTATTGAGCAACCTTGTTGATGTGATATTCAAACTAAGTCCTAATATTAAACAATGTAGGAATTTCAATGAAAATATGACCAAAGGGAGAAAATGGCTCCCAACCTACTGTAATTAAAGTTCCCTTCTGTTGTTTTAAAATGCTACTATGGATAGAGAAAACAAGATATGGATTTGGAAGAAAATTACCCACAGTCTAATTGTCAGATTTATTGACTTAAAGATGTTACATGGCAATAAAGTTGAAAGAAAAATAAGAAGAAATTCTAAAAGCCAGCATGTTAGATTTATTCCCTCCACAAAAAGAATTGCTAATATTTATAAAGTGAGATAATAGGCCAAATACTTGTACTTGGCATAATTGCATTTTCTCAACAAATCCTATATAATCAACATTGTTTTATTTGTATATGTGTGAAAAATCATGACACCTGCAGTTTAAGTTACATTTGTATGAAACAGTCAATATGTGGCAGAGCCAGAATAAAGCCCACGTTTAGATTAAAGGAATTCTCTTTCCATTGCACCCACCCGTATTGCCTGTGGAAACCCTAAACAAGCCATTTAAATTTGTTGGAATTCCGTTTTTCAACTTTTTAAAACCTCTTAAGAGTCCAGTCCTAAATCAAGTTAATGTTTAAATTCTTCACTTATGCTTAGTATGTACATTATTCCAAAATGTGAATTGGTCCCAAATATCATATTCATTCTAACAGAGGACATTAAAAGTTTAAAAGATATCTGTTATATGGCTGAACTGATTATATTTTATCGGAAAGTGAAAGGAACGGAAAGGAACTACTCAGCATATTTCTAATGAGTATACAGAGGAAAAGTACTTTGCCTCATTTAATTTTGTAAAATCTCTCTCTGGCACATAATTCACAGTCTTTTTTTGCCCACAGGAATAGTGAGGCAGATATGTATTAATTCATGTCATAATACAAGAATAGGTAGCGATAAAACACTGGCATTTTCCAAATTGCCAGTATAAAGAATTGCCAGAAGAACATGGGTATTAGCTTCAGATTCTCCAAGGGGTTAACATTTATGTTATCTGTTAAATATGAATTATGTATTAACTTCTCATATTTCATATATAAAACTTTATGCTTTGGTCCTGTTCCTCGGGATGACCTTGATGTAATCAGAAATAATAGTGTTCTTTACCAAAGACATTAATCAATAACTTTATAATACGAAGCACTATGAATATTTAATGGCTTCAGCTTGAATAATTCAAATCCCGTATTACTAGAAAATAAAGTCAATTGAGTGACTGAGAGTTCCATATTCCACAATTCCTACTCTGCTTACTACCTATTCTACTTACTATTCTCTTTACTATTTGAGAAGGGTATGGAGTTGTGTATGTTGCAAACATCACGTAACTTTTGTTCGACTTTCTTGAACACGTCATATTATTTTTTTTAGTTCATTTTCTGAATATAAGTAATTTTTGGTGAATTAATACTTTAAACAAGAGTTCACCTGGAAAGCAGTAGGCAAAATTTCATTAAAAATATTATTTTATTAACATACCTTAAAAATGTAATAGGACAATGCCTCAAAGAACAATTTCAAAATAAAAACACAGAAAACAAATGACCAGCAAAATTGCTCTGAAGTCTTAAAAACAGAAATAAATACTTCGATAATCATAGGTAATATGGAAATCCAATGTATGACTTACCTATAGAAAACCCTTCTGGAATTTCATTTAAATCTAACGTCAATATGAGCTATGTAGGAAGTCCATTAATAAATAAGAATATTATATAGGTACACATGTATATATTAATTTTAAGCCATATGCAGCCCTATTTGAAAATGTTAAAAAAAATCATCAGGATTAGTCCATACTGATTATTAAAAAATAAAATTGTCACTGCTCATTGTAGAAGATAAATGTCAGCTGTGCAGCAGATGTGTTTATAGCCACCCAGTAATCCTATCGCCTCAATAATGCATTTCCCTTTTTTTAGTTAAAAACTTAATTACATTAAGAAACTGTATGTGTTTAGGAATATGAATATAGAAGGAGTAATCATCGTTTAGTAAAATAAGTTTTACTTGCCTATTAAAATTTACTGTGTTTGTGAAGATGCTGATAGTACATTACATATGGAGATCCAAGTGCACATAGTCACTAATTCTTTAAACTATGTTTGATATTAGTAATAATTTACTTTACATATATATCGGAATTTAATTGAAAAATAGTAAATGACTGCTAATATACATTATTCTTCTGAGTTGCATTTTTGCTTAATGAAATAGAATTTTTAAAAAAATTGTTTATCTTTATTCCTACTAGATTATACATTTCATGAGAAAAGCATTATCTCTTTATTAGTATATTTGTTTACCTGTATTAGAACTTGACTTTGAAATAAACCAGATATAATACCATTGTTGTAGATGTATTTATTGTAGTAAAAATAATATTCTGCATCTGAGTTTTGAGCAAGGAGATTTTACAGTCTCCTTTCAGTTAGAAAACTACAAGACCCTCTTAACTGATGTTGGAAATGTAAGTAAAGAAGATAAAAATTAAAATGATAAAGAAAAGCATTTGGGGTATAGTAGCACTGTGTTTCCCAGGAGAATGAGTTGTTAAGTGCTCACTCCGCATTTTTCAGTAACATATACTTAAAGTAAGCACACAGGGGCTACAGACGCTATTTTTTGGTTCAACATGACCTGAGCAGTTAATTATTTGTAAAGGGAAGAAGCAAGAATAGGCTCAGGGAGGGAGACAGAGAAAGACTGGGTAGGGCGGGGAGGGAGGGAGAGTTTCACCTGTATCTAAAACAGATCAGAAGCAATTTCTTCCTCCAACTCCTCACTTGTCTATTTCTACTAATAAAGAGCAAAACCAGACAAAATAGATTATTGTGTCATTTTTGTTTTCTTATTTTGTAATACACAGAAAAACTCAAGCTGGAGATGGAAATGAACAGATGCACATGGCTGGAAAGACTCAGTGCTAATCTCTACAATGTTGTTTTAATAGAATGGAGACAGGACCACATACTTTCTTACAATAATGAGGATCAATAAAGACAAAACTGACACTTTGTAATGAATAATGATCTGAACACTCACCTGAGAAAGTATCTCTTTGTTGCAGGTTTTTGGAAATGGGCTATATTTTTTGAATCATAACCGATATGTACTGCCATAAACAAGAGGATTTCAAGCCAGCTCCATCTGGTCGAAAATTATTTTATTTATTACTAAGAGAAAAGTGTAAGACAAGTCCTGTGGTAAAAACAGATTTATTGCCTCTGCTATTCACCTGTGTTATTTCTTCATATATTACCATTGACATATATTATCCATTCTTCACAGCAATGGCTTTGCCGTGGCAAATTAAATATCTCATTGTCCTTCTCTGTCCATTTTACATTATAATGTTTCTGAGCAGACTTTTATAGCTCTCTCACAGAATTATAGCAAGTCTTTAAATAAAAACAAAATTGAAACAAAAATTTTAGACTCAACTTAAAATCCCTCTTTATTTTATAATTTGGATTTTTAAGTAAAATATGCTATATCCTATTTAACGAGAACTTTCATATGTAATGTATCAATGGAATTATCTAAAGCTCATTTGGTTTTGCATAAAAACACAATTAGAGTAAAAACATTCTAAAATAGACACTGGAATAAAAACAATGAAAGCAAAACTATTAATTTTACATTTTTCATTCAAGTATTTTGATTTTTACTATATTATATTATTATATTAGGTATCAGAGTAATCATTGATCGCTTTCAAAACCCTGCTCCTTTCTAGGTGCAATGAAGAATTTTTATTTTATTGAAAAGTTATCTTAAGATGTAAGACTTGTGAATGATAGTAAAGATTTAGTAGACCCAATGTATTCTCAGATAAATGTAAAATAAGCAAGATATGAATTAAAGGATAAATATAGAGTTTAACAGCATAGATCTTAAAATCCATTATCATAAGGTAGAAGGATGTATAATTTATCATGATTAAAATATACTAAATATTCATATCACAGCATTCTGATTTCTGATATCTACAATTTAGGTGACATATATACATATGTGTGTATGTATATATAACTGTATTATTTGATATTTTAAAAGATAAAAGAGTTATATATTCAAATACCAGTATAGATGTTGCTCTGAAAGTATTGTTAGATGAGATTAACATGAAAATCAGTAATTTCTGAGAAAAGCAGATTATTTTCCAAAATATTGTAGGGCTCATCCAGTCAATTGATTATATTAAAAGACTGAGATCCCTCAAGGAAATAATTCTGCCTGCAGATTGCCTTTCGACTTGAGACTGTAACATCAACTTTTCTCTAGGTCTCTTGCTTGCTAGCCTACCCTGCCAATTTTTTATACATTAAAAAATATTTTTCTCAAATATTGTAGTTCTGCTATTTCCAGAAACGCTTGAGGATTGTACTTCCAAGTTCTTTTAAAGTTGATCATCGTCATGAAACTCATCATCAAATGGCATTTGAGCAAAATCTTTATTAATTAAACATGAGTGGAAGTTTAAAGGCCAAAGCACAACTCACTCAGGCATTGTGAACTATGTGTGCAGACAGATCACAACTCATCCTTGGTCTCTGGGTGTGTCTGCGTCTATTACTGACTTACCCTGGATATGTAAAATGAATAAGAAAAACTTTTTGTGTTAGCCACTGGGATTTTTGGTTTGTGTATTACTTTAGCATATTATCTCATTTTGAATGCTATAGTTTAGGACACTAGTTTAAACTACTGAAGTTAAAATGTTCTCCTTATTTCAGAGGAGAGAAGGATCTTACAGTGACAGACATCCATTAGTAAGAATTAATTTCTAGAGATAAAGTGAATTCAGTAACCACAGTGTCAGTAGAGTCAGCATGGTCAAAATAGTCTACATGGGAAATGTTTGGTGGCTCTTAGTTGATCATGGAGTCTCTAGAACCAAAAGTTATGAATGCCAATTAAGTTTCGATTTGGCTTATATGATCTCAAATCTTCAGGTTTACAAAACATATCTTGAGCCACCACCCAGCTCTGTCACCCAGGCTGGAGTGCAGTGGCACCATCTCAGCTCATTGCAGCCTCCGCCTCCGAGGTTTAAGCGATTCTCATGCCTCAGCCTCCTGAGTAACTGGGACTACAGGTGCTCACCACCATACAGGGATGTTTTTTCTATTTTTTTGGAGAGACACGGTTTCACCATGTTGGCCAGGCTGCTCTCGAACTCCTTACCTCATGATCCGCCCACCTCGGCCTCCCAAAGTGCTGGGATTACAGGCGTGAGCCACGGCGCCCAGCCCATTTTTTCTTTTCACCCACCTCGGCCTCCCAAAGTGCTGGGATTACAGGCGTGAGCCACTGCACTGAGCCTACAGCTCATTTCTTAACACATAAAGCTTTGCACCTCTCCACAAAACTGCCATCAGGGATGTCCCCAGAAACCATTCATCCCAGGTGCCACGCAGAGAAGAGTTTCTTGTTCTCCTTTTCCCTTTACCTCTTCCCTCTCACCTCATCATGTTCATTCATTCATCCCTTTTCCACTCTCACATTTAAGCTTTAACCTTTCAAAAGCCTATCTTCCCCTATAAGTAATGTATTGTAACTCCCGCCATCACCATATCCTTCTCCAACCAACCAAACTGCCATCCTGAGTTTATGGAAAGTCCATAAACTAAGAAGAAATGGGAAACATTCATTGCTAACTTGGCAGCCCCTCATCCACCCTACGTGAGAGCACAGATCTTATTGTCTTTGAAGACCCTTTCTTTTTTTTTTTTTTTTTTTTTTTTTTTGAGAAGCAGTCTCACTGTCGCCCAGGCTGGAGTGCAGTGGCACAATCTCGGCTCACTGCAAGCTCCAACTCCTGGGTTCATGCCATTCTCCTGCCTCAGCCTCCCGAGCAGCTGGGACTACAGGCACCCGCCACCACGCCCGGCTGATTTTTTTTGTATTTTCAGTAGAGACAGGGTTTCACTGTTAGCCAGGATGGTCTCGATCTCCTGACCTCGTGATCTGCCTGCCTCGGCCTCCCAAAGTGCTGGGATTACAGGCATGAGCCACCGTGCCCAGCTCCTTTTTTTTTTTAAAGACAGGTCTCACTCTGCTGCCCAGGCTCAAGTGCAGTGGTGTAATCATGGCTTACTGCAGCCTCCAACTCCTGTGCTCAGGCTATCCGCCTGCCTCAGCCTCCCAAGCAGCTAGGACTACAGGCACACACCACCACACCTAGCTAATCTGTTTAGTTTTTGTAGAGATGGGGGTCCTGCTATGCTGAACAGGCTGGTCTCGAACTCCTGGCCTCAAGCAATCCTCCCACCTTGGCCTCCCAAAGTGCTGGGATGACAGGCATGAGCCACCATGCCTGGTCTGAAGACTTTTAAATGCTGCCATATTCAAGACGCGTTGAAACTCACCTGTATTCGATGAGCCTGCTTTTCGCAAATGAGTAACATAAAACAGACTGAAATACCTTAAGCTTCTCAGCCTTTTACCCTCCTCTGGAATAATGAGTGTATCCCAAAAGTAAATCCATAATGAGGTCCAGTTTTTCCTTCATCCTTGGCTATGAAATAGACAAGAAAAAGGCAAGCTAGCCATTTCCATCTCACTATAGCAGACTCTCATGTTTGCTTTTTGACCGTACGTGGGAAGCGGGGGCCTGACTGCTTTCCTACTTCCTAAGCACAACTTACTTTTCCTAGGAAATTCTCAACACAACCTACATGGATTAAACCAGGTTCCCCCCTTTGTTTCCAATATTCTTACAGCCAAAATGTCCAGAATGGGCAAGGCAACCTGAAAAAATGAGGACGGGTACATTATCCCATGCGCTAAACTGCCACTTACACTGGTTAGTCATGAAATCGGCAAAATTCCAGATGAGCTCTCCAACCACGTATTTTCTGCGTTTTTGATCCAGACCCAGATGGTACTGCTCTAGCAGACTTTTCCGGTCCTCTTCACTGAACATCAGAGGTGGATCCTGGGATTCAAGGCAAAGAGAATTAAGAGTAAGAACTGGCAGAATTGTAAATGTTAGATAAAAATAAAGATCCACTTGATGGTGACCAAAATATCTGTCCTCACTGGGGGCTGTAGGGACTGCAGGACTCACTGATGCTAGGGTAAAGACAGCCAGGGAGAAATTGGAAATCATCATTCTCAGTAAACTATCGCAAGAACAAAAAAACAAACACCGCATATTCTCACTCATAGGTGGGAATTGAACGATGAGATCACATAGACACAGGAAGGGGAACATCACACTCTGGGGACTGTTGTGGGGTGGGGGGAGGGGGGAGGGATAGCATTGGGAGATATACCTAATGCTAGATGACGAGTTAGTGGGTGCAGCACACCAGCATGGCACATGTATACGTATGTAACTAACCTGCACAATGTGCACATGTACGCTAAAACTTAAAGTATAATAATAATAATAAAAAAATACAAAAAAAGAAACGACAGCCAGGGAATGATGTAACCCAGAATTAAAAAGGAGGTTTAAAAAAAAACCATCAATTAGCAACTGCTTTATTTATAAATATAAACTGATACTCAATTTTTCTTACTTTTCCGTCTCTGTCTGCTGATACAGTCTTAAGGCTGAACTACACTAGAAGGAAAAATATGTCTTTAGGTCAGGCGCGCTGGCTCATGTCTGTCATCCAAGCACTTTGGGAGACCGAGGTGGGAGGACTGCTTGAGCCTAGGAGTTCAAGACTAGCCTACAAAAAGTACAAAAGTTAGCCAAGCATGGAGGCACACACCTGTGGTCCCAGCTACTTGGGAGGCTGAGGTGGGAGGACTGCTTCAGTCCCGGAGGTCAAAGCTGTGGTTTGCACCACTACACTCCAGCCTGGGTGACAGAACAAGACCCTATCTCATGAATGAATGAATGAATGTAAAATGAAATTAAACTAAACCAGGCTGGGCATGGTAGCTCAGGTCTGTAATCCCAGCACTTTGGGAGGTCGAGGCAGGAGGATCACTTGAGCTCAGGAGTTCAAGATCAGCCTAGGCAACACAGTAAAACCCAGTCTCTATAAAAAGGCTAAATATTCGCTAGGTGTAGTGGCGCATGACTGTGGCTCCAGCTACTTGGGGGGCCGAGGAGGAAGGATCACTTGAGCCCAGGAGGTTGAGCAGTGAGCTGTGATTACGCCACTGCACTCCAGCCTGGGCAACAGAGTAAGGCTGTCTCAAAAAAAAATTTTTTTTAATTAAACCAAATAAATTCAGTTATCCTAGTCATATATCAAGACCTCAATAGCCACATGTAGCTAGTGGCTACCATTTCAGACAGTGCAGACATGGGGCATTTCCATCATTGCAAAGGTTCTTTTTTGAAACAAGGTCTCACTCTGTCACCCAGGTGGGAGTACAGTGGTGCAATTATGGCGGACTGCAGCCTTGACCTACTGGGCTCAAACAGTCCTCCTACCTCAGCCTCCCAAGTAGCTGGGACTAGAGGCAAGCACGACCATACCCAACTATTTTTTTTTTTTTTTTTTGAGACGGAGTCTTGCTCTGTCGCCCAGGCTGGAGTGCAGTGGCACAATCTCGGCTCACTGCAACCTCCACCTCCCCAGTTCAAGCGATTCTCCTGCTTTAGCCTCCTGAGTAGCTGGGATTACAGGTGCATGCCACCACACCCAGCTAATTTCTGTGTTTTCTTAGTAGAGACGGGGTTTCACCATCTTGGTCAGGCTGGACTTGAACTCTTGGCCTCGTGATCCACCCACCTCAGCCTCCCAAAGTGCTGGGATTACAGGCGTCAGCCACTGCACCCAGCCACAACTCATCTTAAATATTTTGTAGAGATGGGGTCCATGTTGTGCAGACTGGTCTCAAACTCCTGGGCTCAAGAGATCCTCTGACCTCGGTCTCCCAAAGGGCTAGCATTCCAGGTGTGAGCCAGCACACCCAGCACTGCAGAGGTTCTATCAATGCTCACCTAGACCCTCTCGAGTTTCTTAAGAATTCAGAACTGGGGCTGGGTATGGTGGCTCATGCCTGTAATTCCAGCACTTTGGGAGGCCAAGGCAGGTGGATCGCTTGAGGTCAAAAGTTCAAGACCAGCCTGACCAACGTGGTGAAACCTCATCTCTACTAAAAAAAAAAAAAAAAAAAAAAAAAAATTAGGTGAGCATGGTGGTGCATGCCTGTAATCCAAGCTACTTGGGAGGCTGGTGCAGGAGAATTGCTTGAACCTGGGAGGCGGAGGTAGCAGTGAGTCAAGATTGCACCACTACACTCCAGCCTGGGCGACAAGTGAAACTCCTCCTAAAAGGAGAAAGAATTCAGAGCTGGTTACCTTTTCAAAGAGAATGAACAAGGGTGCATATCCACAAATCACTTCCCCCTACTTGACTAGTTTACAGAAGTGTCATTCTGTAAGCACGATAAATTTAAGGGTGCAAACAGAACAGTGCAGTCCATTGTGGGTGGCTGTTCCCTGTGTGTCAACGGGAGTCCCAGGAGCTGTGCAAAAGAGTGTGAGCTGGCTGGGGAGGGGACAAGGGGCTGGATGGGGTTCAGGAATCCACATGAAAAAAACCCCACAAGACAAAGCAACATATCTTTGGTGAGAAGGACAAAAAATGAGATGGATAAACAAATGAGGACAGGCCAGGCATGGTGGCTCAGGCCTGTAATCCCAGGATTTTGGGACGCGGAAGCAGGCAAATCACTTGACGTCAGGAGCTCAAGACCAGCCTGGCCAACATGGCAAAACCCCACCTCTACAAAAATACAAAAATTAGCTGGGCATGGTGGCAGGTGCCTGTAATCCCAGCTGCTTGGGAGGTTGAGGCAGGACAATCGCTTGAGCCTAGGAAGTGGAGGTTGCAGTGAGCTGAGATCACACCATTGCACTTCAGCCTGGGTGACAGAGTGAGACTCCATCTCAAAAAAAAAAAAAGACAAAGTGAGTGATTAAACATGGCTCTAAGATCTCACCCATGCCCTCAATAGGTATTATTTAGCATGTACTGTGTCAGCTATTGCAGAGTACCTGGGAAACAACAATAAATAGGACTCCTGTCTCCTGAGCCCACAGTCCGATCAAAGAGAGAGCCAAAGAAATAACAACGGTGCCTGGCGAGAATGTTGGGAGAGCCAGGTTCCGGCTGCAACAGGGCAGAGCACGGGGAAGGTTCCCTCCGCCTGGGGCAGGCAGGGTAAACCTCCCCACAGAGGGGACAGCTATGAGGAGACTCAGATGCCAAACAGGAATCTTTTCAGCCACGTGTCGTGACTCATGCCTGTATTCCCAGCACTTTGGGAGTCCAAGACAGGAGGTGAAGACCAGCCTGATAGCGAGACTCATCTCTACAAATATTTTAAAACTAGGCTGCACATGGTGGTGCACGCCTGTAGTCCCAGCTACTCAGGAGGCTGAGGCAGGAGAATTGCTTCAGCCCAGGAGTTCGAGGCTGCAGTGAGCTATGATGACACCACCACACTCCAGCCTGGGCAACAGAACAAGACCCTGTCAGGAAAAAAATAAAAAATAAAAAAAGGCTAGCACAGTGGATCACACCTGTTAATCCCAGAACTTTGGGAGGCCAAGGCAAAAAGATCAATTGAGTCCAGGAGTTTGAGACCAGCCTGGGCAACATAGCAAGACCCTATCTCTAAAATAATAAAAAGAAAAGGATCTTTTAGTTGGTGATTATGGTGCCAACTTGGGCATTCCAGGCAGAAAGAATAGCTCAAGCAAGAGCAGGAGAGCAAATGAGGGCAGTGGAAACAGATCAGTGGCCAGGAGTGAGAAGAGAAGAGGATGAAAACCCAGGAGAGAGCAGAGGACACTGAGTGTCCTGACTAGGGGTTAGGACTTTGTCCTATGGGCCTGGGGGAGCCAATGACAGGACTCAAAAATTTTGATTTGTGGCCGGGCACAGTGGCTCACACCTGTAAATCCCAGCGCTTTGTGAGCCTGAGGCAGGAGGGTCACTTGATCCCAGGAATTCAAGACCAGCCCAGGGAACACAACAAGGCCCCATCTCTACAAAAGTAAAAAAATTAGCCAGGCATGGTGGCCTGTGCCTATGGTCCCAGATACTCAGGAGGCTGAGGTGGGAAGATCGCTTGGGCCCAGGAGGTTAAGGCTGCAGGGAGCAGTGATCGCACCACCGCACTCCAGCTTGGGTGACAGAGAGAGAGGCGGTCTCAAAAACACATAAAAATTTGGATTTCTTAGAAAGACCACTTGGGCACGGGTGATAGGAGGCTGTCTGGAAACAATGCCAGTAAGGAGTCCACCTTTGAGGACCAAGCGAGTGGGGCAGAGGCCTGGCTGCTGGTGAGAAGGGAACGTGGACAGGGTAGCGGGAGGTGAGCCCAAAGCTGAAGCAAGGGGAGCACTGCAGTGGGCGCAGGGCAGGGTGGGGGAGGCAAGTGGCATCTCTGCCCAGAGAGAATACACAAGCAGGAAGTTCAACACCGCTTACCTGGTGAAACCCTACAAGCGTTTCCACTCCATACGCGCTCTGAATAATGGGATTGTGATGTCTTACACCAATTCTCAAACTGGGCGGCCAGCTGCAGCTGAATCAACTCCAGGTGCCCGTAGTTGCGATACCAAGAGTAGTAGCTGTTCACACGGATCACATCCACATACAGAGCCTAGGACCAGAGCAGCAGAGCCCGTTCAGCAACCACAAGACCGCATGACTCAGTACTCACATGCTGTGGGGGCTCCTCTGACAGAGAAGGTAAGAAGGGGATGTAATCCCAGCACTCTGGGAGGCTGAGGCAGGAGGGTGGCTTGTGGCCAGGAGTTCGAGACCAGCCTGGGCAACACAGCAAGACCCCAGCTCTACAAAAAATAGTATCAAGAAAATCAGCACGGCACAGTGGCTCATGCCTGTAATCCCAGCACATTGGGAGGCCAAGGTGGGAGGATCACTTGAGCCCAGGAGTTTGAGACCAGCCTGGGCAACATCGTAGGACTCCATTTCTACAAAACAAAACAAAAAGCCTACAACGGGAAGAGCTGCCTCTCGGGGCTGAGAACATCCAACTGCACCAATTTAGATCCTGAAATTACCCTGCCCCACAAGCAAAAAACATGGTCACAAAGTGGCCCAAAGGAGGCAGGCCTGTGATTGCACACTGACGCTCACGACGTGTGCAGCTGGGAAGGGCTGTGAGAGGCAGAGCAGCTGCCAACACGCAGTCCTCAGCCAAAACCCAGGGCCCCCGCCACTGGAACTGACTCCTCTCCAGGCAGCACTCCCAGCACTGGGCATCCCCTCACCTTGCCCTGGAGAAGCCCTCCCACCCAAGGGGCCAATGCAGTCATTCTCGCAGATAATCTTTTTCCGCTTTGTTTGGAAGACAGAGTCTCGCTCTGTTGCCCAGGCTAGAATGGAGTGGCACAATAATGCAACCTCTGCCTCCCACGATCAAGCGCAGGCGTGGTGGCATGTGCCTGTTATCCCAGCTACTTGGGAGGCTGAGGCAGGAGAATTGCTTGAACCTGGGAGGCGGAGGTTGCACTGAGCTGAGACTGTGCCACTGCACTCCAGCCTGGGCAACAGAGCAAGACTCTATCTTAAAAAAATAATAAAAAATAAAAAAGAATGCTAGTATCAGCCAGGCACGGTGGCTCATGCCTGTAATCCCAGCACTTTAGGAGGCTAAGGCAGGAGGATCACTTGAGCTCAAGAGTTTGAGACTGGCCTGGGCAACATAGTGAGATCCCATCTCTACAAAAACATTTAAAATTAGCCGGGCACAGTGGTGTACACCCGGAGTCCCAGCTACTTGGAAGGCTGAGGCAAGAGGGTTGCTTAGGCCCAGGAATTCAAGGCTGCAGTGAGCTGTGATCACACCACTGCACTCCAGCCAGAGCAACAGAGTAAGACCTTGCCTTCACACACACACACAAAAAAACAAAAAACTCAGGTTCCAACCCTGGAGTTACTAAATCAGGATCTCAGAACGCAGAGATCTGGCATTTCAATAAAACTTCCCCTGGAGATTCTGATCAGCCAGGTTTGGGCCAGATGAACTCTAAGCTCACTTAAACCTTTGACATTTTATGAGTCTATTAAATCGAGTACAAAAAATGCTGAGTCCAAACCGGGCAAACAAATCCCATCTCCCTATGCCCAGCCTCCTTGGATTCAGAAAGCCACACTGCCTGGAGAGTAAGCAGAGAGAGAATTGTCATTAACCCAAAGACCATCTTTGAAAACAGACTGGCTGCGGCTGAGTGCGGTGGCACACGCCTGTAACCCCAGCCCTTTGGAAGGCCGAGGCAGGAGGATCACTTGAGCCCAGGAGTTCGAGACCAGCCTGGGCAACATGGCAAGACCCTGTCTCTATCTTTCTAAGTAAAACAAAATAAAAAGCTCAGACTGGCAGCACATGGTTCTTTCCAGCTGTTCCCATGAGCAGGCTTCAGGACAAGCCCAGGCAAAGGCAGGGAGAAATGGGGTGGGGACCCCCAGGCTCACCCCCTTGTCTGCTGCGTAGGTGGAGTTGGTCACAAAGGTCACAGGCTGGGAGGGGTCCAAGGCTTTGGTGTGAGCAATCACCATCCTGTCCACAAAAGAGAGAAGACACAGGTTCCGTCAGTCCGGGAAAGGCTCAGACACCCTCCCATCCTCTCTGTCCCATCTTCCCCTGCCAGAACACAACTGGGGGCCAGGCACGATGGCTCACGCCTGTAATCCCAGCACTTCAGGAGGCTGAGACAGGCAGATCACTGAGGTCAGGGGTTCAAGAACCGCCTGGCCAACATGGCAAAACCCCATTTCTACTAAATATACAAAAATTAGCCAGGCATAGTGGCACGCATCTGTAACTCCAGCTACTCGGGAGGCTGAGGCACAAGAATTGCTTGAACCCGGGAGGTGGAGGTTGCAGTGAGCCGAAATCACGCTACTGCACTCCAGCCTGGGCCACAGAGCAAGACCCTGCCCCAAAACAAACAAACAAACAAACAAACAAAAAAAAAAAAAGAAAGAAAAAAAAGGAAAAAAAAAAAAAAAAACAAAGCACAGAGCCGCTGCTTTCTTCCCTAACTTGAGATGTATTTTACATAAGGGCACGTTCCTCTAGTCCTAGACCGAGCTCTCTAACAACACTCTTTCTCCCCCACCCCTGAATCCAACTCCCCCAGAGGCGTAGCCACCCTGCCGGGTACACAGAGCTGAGGTCACTGGACTGAACACTGCCAGAAATGAGGTTCACTTCCTGAAATAGCTCTTGAACACAGGAGTGAATGGGCTGTGGATTCAGGTGGAATATTTATTAATGCATCAAGCAAACAGGTAGTGCGAGGTGGGAGGTAGGCATGAGGCTGGGTGCTAGGTGCTCAGTAATGACTCAAATCTAAGTCCACAGGTCCTGGGCAGTGGGAGTGGAGATGCATGCACAGAAAAACGGTGCAAGTGCCAGGCGAGGTGGCTCACGCCTAGAACCCCAGCACTTTGGGAGGCTTACTTGAGACCAGGCGCTTGAGACCAGCCTGGACAACATAGCAAGACCTTGTTTCTACAACAAATTTAAAAATTAGGGCCGGGCATGGTGGCTCAAGCCTGTGAGCACTTTGGGAGGCCAAGGCAGGTGGATCACGAGCTCAAGAGTTCGAGACCAGCCTGGCCAACATGGTGAAACCCCATCTCAACAAAAAATAAAGAAGAAAACTAGCTGGGCATGGTGGCGTGAGCCTGTAATCCCAGCTACTCGGGAGGGTGAGGCAGGAGAACTGTTTGTACCCAGGAGGTAGAGGATGCAGTGAGCCAAGATCGCAACACTGCTCTCCAGCCTGGGAGACAGAGCAAGACTCTGACTCGTGGGGAAAAAAAAAATATTAAAATTTAGCCTGGCAAGGCAGCGCACGTCTGTGGTCCCAGCTATTTGGGAGGCTGAGTGGGGAGGATCGCTTAAGCCCAGGAGGTCGAGATGGCAACGAGCTATGATTGCACCACTGCACTCCAGCCTGGGCAACAGAGTGAGACCCTGACTCTGAAAAACAAACAATGAAAGAAATGTTGCGAATGGAAATGACAAGTGGTGGCAGGAATTGGGCACTCTATGAGACAACAGACACATCCCCGATTGGAGAGTCAGGGACAGGCTCTTAGAAGAAATGGCCTTTATGCTGAGTCAAGTTAACCAGGAGGGATGAAGGGAAGAGGCTCCCAACAGAGGGACCAGTCCGTGCTCAGAGCTCCCAGCATCTGCCCAAGGCCTCCACAGAACAGACTGTTGTGTTTTTGTTTTGTTTTGTTTTGTTGAGATACAGAGTCTCATTCTGTAGCCCAGGCTGGAATGCAGTGGCATTATCTCAGCTCATTGCAATCTCTGCCTCCTGGTTCACCTGAGGCGATTCTCCTGCCTCAGCCTACCTGGTAGCTGGGATTACAGACGTCCACCACCATGCCCAGCTAATTTTTGTATTTTTAGTAGAGACAGGATTCACTACCTGTTGACCAGGCTGGTCTCGAACTCCTGACCTCGGGTGATCCACCCACCTCAGCCTCCCAAACTGCTGGGATTACAGGCGTGACCCACCGCATCCGGCCTAGACCGTTGTTGAAGCTGGTTTTCTTCTTCTTTCCTCAGTTCTTTTCTTTTACATCTTCCCCCCATCATTGCTCTGCCCATCCGAAGGCTGTGGCTGGCACAGGACAGAATAGAACCTCCTAGCCTCAAGTTCCAAACCCACACTCTCCAATAGCCAGGCTCTCAGATGGGAAGCTTCAAAGCCTTGTGACAGCCTGGCTGAACCTCTCCAGCCTGGGCCCTCCCTCCATTTCCTGCCCCGGAAACAGGCATCTCCTCTGGCCACCTCCCAAAGCCTGTCTGGAAGCCTCAGGCACCCACTCCTGGAAGCCTGTACGATTCACAACAAACGGCCTGTCCACCCAGTCGTGCTGAGCACACCCCTATTCCCCCGAGCTCTGAATTGTCCTTTGCCCAGGCTAGGACAACATCTCAGAGCCTTCTGCCTGCTGCAGACTCGGCTCAGCCCAAATCACTCCATGAAATTGGGGTGTGGCATCTGCCTCAAGGAGCATTTCTACAACCTCTGCTGCCTCTACCGCAAATGAAACTGGCTCTCACCCACTGGCTCTCGGTGACGGGCACAGTGCGGAGCCCCACAGGGAGTGTGTAGAAGTCAAAGGCCCCAGTGACTTCTGTGCAGTC
This sequence comes from Homo sapiens, assembly GCF_000001405.40. Lineage (NCBI taxonomy): Eukaryota > Metazoa > Chordata > Mammalia > Primates > Hominidae > Homo > Homo sapiens. The sequence goes on from NW_025791777.1 coordinate 989,009, forward strand.
AGCCGCACCTACGACAGCCAAAGCGCCAGGTGTGAGCGCCCCGACAGCCTGAGCCCCATCTGGCCTGCCCTACAGCAGGAAGACCCCTCGTGCATGCACTCCAGAAGTCGCCACTGGGCCTGCAGAGAAGCAGCAATCAGAGGCTCTGCCCTTCACTGGCTGACCCTGGGACCTGCCCTTCAAAATCAGGCCTTCTCCTTGACCAGACGAGGTGGCTCATGCCTGGAATCCCTACACCTTGGGAGGCTAAGGCAGGAGGATCACCTGAGTCCAGGAGTTCAAGACCAGCCTGGGCAACCTAGTAAGACCCCAACTCTATAAAAAGGAGTTTTTTTTTTTGAGACAGTCTCACTCTGTCACCCAGGATAGAGTGCTGCGGCATGATCTCAATTCACCGTGGCCCCTGCCTCCTGGGTTCAAGCAATTCCCCTGCCTCAGCCTCCCGAGTAGCTGGGATTACAGACGTGCACCATCATGCCCTGCAAATTTTCATATTTTAGTAGAGACGGGGTTTCACCATGTTGGCCAGGCTGGTCTCCAACTCCTGGCCTAAAGTGATCTGCCCGCGTCAGCCTCCCGAAGTGCTGGGATTACAGGTGTGAGCCACCATGCCCGGCCTACAAAAAAAATTTTTTTAATTAGCCAGGCATGGTGGCATGTGCCTGTAGTCCCAGCTACTCAGGAGGCCAAGGTAGGAGAATTGCAGCTCAAAGCTGCAGTGAGCTGTGATCAGGCCATTGCATTCCAGCCTGGGTGACAGAGTGAGACCATCACAAAAACAAACAAACAAACAAATAAATAAATAAATAAATAAATAAAAAATCTGGGCCTCCCACCAAGGGTGGGAAACATCAGAAAGCTCAGAGGACCACACCTGCCCGTTCACCTGTCCTGGGCTCCTGCTGAAGCCAGGGCTACCAGATGGGGGCAAAAGACCTCCCTTACGCAAGTCCCAAACCACCATTACCTCCCACGAGTACAGGGAGGCGGGGTGTTCGTGCATCAGGTACGGCCACCAGAGGTTGGCACCCAGCACCTTCAGCTGGCCCTGGGTCCCAGCCTGGTTGTCCACGACTTTGTTTTCTGCATTCAAAAGACACACTTCCAACTTGAACTGGTTACTGCACTTGACGGAGATCTGGTAATTCACCAGCCCTGCAGGAGGCAAGAGAGACCAGGGCTTAGGGAGGGACATGACCTGGGTCACACAAACGGGAAGGCCCCACAATGACCACTCCCAGGCACTCTCATTTGCTTCTGTTGCTTTTTTTTTTTTTTTTTTGAGATAGAATCTCGCTCTGTCACCCAGGCTGGAGTGCAGTGGCATGATCTGGACTCACTGAAACCTCTGCCTCCCAGGTTCAAGTGATTCTCCTGCCTCAGCCTCTGGAATAGCTGGGATTACAGGCACCTGCCACCACATCCAGCTAATTTTTGTATTGTTAGTAGAGACGGGGTTTCACCACATTAGCCAGGATGGTCTTGATCTCCTGACCTCGTGATCCGCCTGCCTCGGCCTCCCAAAGTGCTGGGATTACAGGCTTGAGCCACCGTGCCCGGCCCTGAACCAATGCGCCCAGCCCGCTTTTAATTTAATTTTTTAATTTTTTTTTTTTTTTTTTTGAGATGGAGTCTCACTGTCACCCAGGCTGCAGTGTAGTGCTGCGATCCTGACTCGCTGCAACCTCCACCTCTGGAGTTCAGGTGATTCTCCTGCCTCAGCCTTCCGAGTACCTGGGAATACAGGAATGCACCACCATGCCCGGCGAATTTTTCTATTTTCAGTAGAGACGGAGTTTTGCCATGTTGGCCAGGCTGGTCTCGAACTCCTGAACTCAGGTGATCCACCCGCCTCAGTCTCCCAATAGATTAGATATATTATTAATGAATTGCTTCCTTTAACACCCTATTCATTGAATTTTCCAGTAAACCACAATTACTAATTACTCCTGAAATCAGAAAAGAGGTTAAAAAGATTTTATAACAGTATCCTATGAAATCTACTACTTTCAAGTAATAGTAGTTGAATTACCAAAACCCGTCACTCAAGCCAATGACTACAATTAAGATATGAGTAACATTTCCTAGATAAATAAAGTCAATTAATTATATTTGCATCTGGGAAATAGAGAAAGTACATATAAGCCATGATTTTGAAGTTAAAAGAGAGAGAATATTTGCCAAGGAGGGGTGAGTTATAGTATGTAATTATAACATACAGAAGTTTTTTGTATGCTGGTAACTAATTTTAATTTCCTACATTTTTATGTAGATTTCTGCTATTCTTGTCCTATTTTCCTAATCATCTTTCTATATGAATGACTACATAATTCTGAGAATACCAAAAGAGACAGACACAGAACCAATCGGATTCCTTTCTTCTTGAAGCTTCTGCACAGCAAAAGAAACTATCAACAGAGTGAACAGACAACCTACAGAATGGGAGAAAATTTTTGCAACAATGCATGTGACAAAGATCTAATGTCCAACACTGATAAGGAACTTAAACAAATTTACAAGAAAAAAAAAAATCTCATTAGAAAGTGGGCACAGGACATAAACAGACACTTCAAAAGAAGACACACATGCGGCCAACAAGCATATGAGAAAAAGCTCAATATCACTGATCATTAGAGAAATGCAAATCAAAACCACAATGGCATACCATCTCACACCAGTCAGTATGGTTATTATTAAGAAGTCAACGCCGGGCATGGTGGCTCACGCCTATAATCCCAGCACTTCAGGAGGCCAAGGCAGGCAGATCGCATGAGGTCAGGAGTTCCAGACCAGCCTGGACAACCTGGCGAAACCCCGTCTCTACTAAAAATACAAAAATTAGCCCAGCGTGGTGGCGGGTGCCTGTAATCCCAGCTACTCAGGATGCTGAGGCAGGAGAATCGCCTGAACCCGGGAGGCAGAGGTTGTAGTGAGCCGAGATCATACCACTGCACTCTCCAGCTTAGGTGACAGAGCGAGACTCTGTCTCAAAAAAAAAAAAAAATATTTGAATTTTGTTTAAATCGCTAACACATACTGGGCATTTAATAACAAAAAAAAAGGACATGAGATTGTGATCCTTATGAAGGTTTGAGAGGCATTTCACTAGGGTTCAACATACAGCAGTCTGAAACATACTGTAATAATTTAATCCAATGGCTCATCTACAGCACCTAAAAAGATTACAGCAGATTCTCATTATTCAGTGTAGTTACGGTCTAGAAAGTTCCATGAACAAATAAAAAGTTAGGTTTCAGCAAGCTACTGGTCACACTTTTGTAAGCTTACCAACACCTACTTTTGTTGTATGTGTGCTTATTTAATATATATTGTTGGCCAGGCACAGTGGCTAACGCCTGTAATCCCAGCACTTTGCGAAGCCAAGGCGGGCAGATCATTTGAGGTCTGGAGTTCGAGACCAGCCTGGCCAACGTGGTGAAACCCCGTCTCTACTAAAACTACAAAAAAAAAAAAAAAAAAAAAAAAATTAGCCAGGCATGGTGGCGCATGCCTGTAGTCTTAGCTACTTGGGAGGCTAAGGCAGGGGAATCGCTTGAACCCAGGAGGCAGAGGTTGCAGTGAGCCAAGACTGCACCACTGCACTCCAGCCTGAGCAACAGAGTGAGACTCTATCTCAAAAAAAATAATAATAATAATTAATTAAATGAAGAATAAATAAATAATATACATTGTTCATTCATTAACATTGAACTCACAGCCAACGGCACTACAGCACTCACGCCTGAATGGAGTTTATTTAATGCATGTATTTTCTCTGTAAGACACATCACAGACTTCTTGGACTTGTGAATGCTAAGCAGCACTTCAGCACTATGCTTGGGGGTTAATTTAAATGGCAAAACAACCAACAAACAGCACAAAAACAGGAAAAGCATGGCATTAAATAGACCACAAAAAGGATACCTGACTATTGTATGAGAGCTGAAAAAGAAGGCAGAATATCATCCTGTTCAAACTCAAATTCTTTGACACTCTGCGCAAACACATGACTATGAAAGTGCTGTGAGTACTGATTTGGGGGTTACAAAAAATAGTAGGTGAGTTCACAAATACAAAAGCTGAAAACAAGGAGGATCGACTGTATTTTCGTAGACAATCTAATCTCAGAAGATTTCAGTTCAGACAAAAATCATGATAATTACTGTATTACAAAAGGGCACTAGATAGGGGGAAAAGAGTAAAAATCACAATTAAAACAAAGGTTCAAAATTCTGCAGCAACCATATCCAGTTACACTTTAATATGTTTGTGGCAGACTACATTATTGTTCCCAACTCATCACCCCTCCCTATATCTAAAACCTTTCCCCAAGACAATGCAGTTCCTCCTGCTAGAGATCAGGTATATTTATCTATACTATCAATGTTAGCCATGGACAAGGTATGTGCTTTGGCTGACTGAATGTTAGTGGACATGAGAGAAGCAATGGCTTAAAATGTACTTCCAGAACTGGAGTTTCCTTGTGATTCTATCACTGTGACAAAAACACATTCTCAGGTAGTCCACTGATCCAAGGGGGAACAAACACACAGAAAACATACCTAGACTCTATCTGCAGCTTGCAGCCTCACCAAGCCAAGAACAGTCAACTCACAGATATGTTAGCAAAAATAAATGTTTTTCATACCTTAAGTTTTATATAATTATTGACCTACAGTTAACTGATATACAATATACATTAATCTTAAAATATCATTATCCCATTAAAAATACTTACATTAAAAACTGAGACCACTTTCTTTCCTTTTTTTTTTTTTTTTTTTTAAATTAAGAGACAGGGTGTCTCAATGTTGCCCAAGCTGGAGTTCAGTGGCTAGTGGCTATTCACAAGAACGATCATCGCACACTACCTCAAACTCCTGGGATCAAGCAATCCTCCTGCCTCAGCTTTCCAAGTCGCTGGGACTATAAGTGTGTACCACAGCATGTCAGCTCTCTCTCTCCTTCTTGACCTAAAGCCTAGCATAAAATTAGCTAAGTAGAATGTTTCCAAAGATGGCTGCATCAGTATCTCCCATCCCACATAATTTCTGTTTGATTTTGCCATTCACCCATAAAATGGTGGGATCTACCTCCCCTCCTTGCAAATTTGAGCTGGCCCTCTGATCCTGTCTAAGATCTGAAGCCAGATATTAAGGTACTTCATTAATTTCCATGTTTGTCCTCTATGCAACCTAGCAATCAAGCAAGAAGTCAAAACATACTGACATAGTTTGGATGGGTCCCCACCCAAATCTCACCTTGCATTGTAATAATTCCCACGTGTCAAGGGTGGGGCCGGGTGCAGATAACTGAATCATGGGGATGGTTCCCCCCATACTGTTCTCGCGGTAGTGACTAAGTCTCATGAGATCTGATGGTTTTATAAATGGGAGCTCCCCTGCACATGCTCTCTCCTGCCTGCCACTATGTGAGACATGCTTTTGCACCTCCTTGCCTTCCACCATGATTGTGAGGCCTCCCCAGCCATGCAGAACTGTGAGTCAATTCAACCTCTTTCCTTTATAAATTACCCAGTCTCAGGTATGTCTTTATTTGCGGTGTGAGAACAGACTAATACAATAAGTTGATACCAGTAGAGTGGGGTGCTGCTGTAAAGATACCCGAAAATGTGGAAGCAACTTTGGAAATGGGTAACAGGGAGAGGCTGGAACAGTTTGGAAGGCTCAGAAGAGGATAGGAAAATGTGGGAAAGTTTGGAACTTCCTAGAGACTTGTTGAATGGCTTTGACCAAAATGTTAATAGTGATATGGACAACAAGGTCCAGGCGGAGGTGGTCTCAGAGGGAGATGAGGAATTTGTTGGGAAATGGAGTAAAGTCACTCTTACTATGCAAAGACACTGCAGGCATTGTGCACCTGTATTAGAAACGGGCATAAGATAGGCGGGAAAGAGGGAAAATAAGAATTTCTTTCTAGAGTTCCCTACAGATCTGTGGAACTTTGAACTTGAGAGAGATGATTTAAGGTATCTGACAGAAGAAATTTCTAAGCAGCAAAGCATTCGAGAAGAAGCAGAGCATAAAAGTTCAGAAAATTTGTAGCCTGATGATGCAACAGAAAAGAAAAATCTATTTTCTCAGGAGACTGGGTTGTAGAAATTTGCATAAGTAATGAGGAGCCAAATGTTAATCACCAAGACAATGGGGCAAATGTCTCCAGGGCATGTTAGAGACCCTCACAGCAGACCCTCCCATCACAGGCCAGGAGGCTTAGAAGGAAAAATGGTTTTGTGGGTCCAGAACCCCCTGCTGTGTGCAGCCTAGGAACTTGGGGCCCTGCATCCCAGCTGCTCCTGCCATAGGTAAAAGGGGCCAAGGTACACCTCAGGCCATGGCTTCAGAGGGTGCAAGTTCCAAGCCTTTCAGGTTCTAGGTGGTGTTAAGCCTGCAGATGCACCAAAGTCAAGAATTAACGTTCATGAACCTCCGCCTACATTTCAGAAGATGTATGAAAATGCCTGGAAATCCAGGCAAAAGTTTGCTGTGGGGGGGAGGGGAGGGGGGGGCCCTCATGGATAACCTCTGCTAGGGCAGTGTCAAAGGGAAATATGGGGTTGGAGCTCCCACACAGAGTCCCCACTGGGGTACTGCCAAGCAGAGCTGTGAGAAAAGGGCCACCATCCTCCAGACCCCAGAATGGTAGATCCACTGACAGCTTGCACTGTGTGCCTGGAAAAGCTGCAGACACTCAATGCAGCCAGAAGGGGGGCTGTACCCTGCAAAGCCACAGGGGCGGGGCTGCCCAAGACCCTGGGAACCCACTTCTTGCATCACCTAGATGTGACACATGGAGTCAAAGGAGGTCATTTTGGAGCTTTAAGATTTGCCTGCTGGGTTTTGGACTTGCATGGGGCCTGTAGCTCTTTTGCTTTGGCCAATTTCTCCCATTTGAAACGAGTGTATTTACCCAATGCCTGTATCCCTGTGTATCTAGAAAATAACTAACTTGCTTTTGATTTTACAGGCTCATAGGTGGAAGGGACTTGCCTTGTCTCAGATGAGACTTTGGACTATGGAATTTTGAGTTAATGCTGAAATAAGAGTTTGGGGGACTTAGGGGAAGGCACGATTGCTTTTGAAATATGAGGACATGAGATTTGGGAGGGGCCGGGGAAGAATTATATGGTTTGGCTCTGTCCGCACCCAAATCTCATCTTGAATTGTAACAATTCCCATGTGTCAAGGGTGGGGCCAGGTGGAGATAACTGAATCATGGAGGCAGTTTCCCCCATGCTGTTCTCATGGTAGTGAATAAGTCTCATGAGGTCTGATGGTTTTATAAATGGATGTTCCCCTGCACATGCTCTCTCCTGCCCACCATGTCTGACTAAATTTTGTATTTTTACTAGAGACGGGCTTTCACTATGTTGGCCAGGCTGGCCTCCAACTCCTGATCTCGTGATCCGTCCACCCCGACCTCCCAAAGTGCTAGGATCATAGGCATAAGCCACCACACCCGGCCTCTTTTTTTTCTTTTTCTTTTTTTTATCTGGAGACTGAGTTTTGCACTCGTTGCCCAGGCTGGAGTGCAATGGTGCGATCTCAGCTCACTGCAGTCTCCACCTCAGCAGGAGAGCAGGAATCTTCAGTGATCCACGGGCAAATATGCAGCCATTGTGGGCACCTGTTCCTCCCGCGACCTTTGTGCCCACGTCTCTCCCTCCAGTACCTACTGCACGACCCCCCACGTCCGCCTCCTGCCATTGCCAGCAGGTGCCTTGCGCGGGTACCTGGCTGTGCTTATTCATCCATTATGGTCGCTCTGTCACTGGTGCCATTATGTGCTCACATGCCCACTCCCTCAGGTTTAGAAGTCGCGTTGCCCGGCAACAGAACAATCTGCTGGCTTAGCCTTTGGCCAAGTTGGCAGCTGGATGAGGACGCTCAGAGCCCAGCTCTTGAGAGTTCAAGTATCCGACAGTTCCCCACTGCTCCCAGGAGCGGTTACCCGGGCACTCTGTGCCCCTCATTCCTGTTTGGGCCAAGGCCGAGGACCTGCGAGTAGGGCTCAGTTGCCTGGAGCCCCTTCAGCCCATCCCCCAGTTCACTTTGCTTGTGGGATCTCCCCGTTGCTCCTGCCCCTGGACTGAGTGGCAGGCCATCCTACAAACACCCGCACACTCGACATCAGTGGTGTCAAGACAACTCTAAGAAGGTTTTCCGTGATCCTGCAAGACCTGTGTTCCATCCTGGTGATTCTATCTTCAATTTCACTGCACAGGTACCACAGTAAGCCAGTGCTGTGTGCTCCGAGTTCCAGGGCATCCCCCAGCTCAGCCACTACACTGAGCACAAGGACTCTGTGGGGCCCAGGAGCAGGTAGTCACCCCTTTGGGGTCCACAACACCCGGCTGTCCCCAGACTTGTGTCCAGGGAAGATAGTGTTGAGGGCCCTCAAGGAGAGCGGGGCAGGGATGCCTGAGCAGCACAAGGACCCCAGAGTCCAAGAAAATCCTGATGATCAGAGAACGGTCCCCGAGGTCACCGGGGATGCACGGTCTGCATTTTGGCCCCTGCGGGACAATGGAGGCCCCTCTCCCTTTGTGCCCAGGCCCGGGCCTCTGCAGACAGACCTCCACGCCCAGAGCTCAGAAATCAGATATAACCACACATCCCAGACATCCTGGACGAGCTCGAGCACCAAACGAAATGCCATCTCCAGCTCCTACAGCTCCACGGGAGGCTTGCCGGGGCTAAAGCAGAGGAGGGGGCCAGCCTCATCCCGCTGCCAGCTGACCCTCAGTTACTCAAAGACAGTGAGTGAGGACAGGCCTCAGGCTGTCTCTTTGGGTCACACACGGTGTGAAAAGGGGGCAGATACAGCACCAGGGCAGACAATCGCCCCAACGGGTGGCTCCCCCAGATCCCAGGACTCTAGGCCCCGTAGACGCAAGATTCCCCTGCTGCCACGCAGGCGAGGGGAGCCTTTGATGCTGCCACCTCCCTTAGAGCTGGGGTACCGGGTCACGGCTGAAGACCTGCACCTGGAAAAAGAGACGGCATTCCAGCGCATCAACAGTGCACTGCACGTTGAGGACAAGGCCATCCCGGACTGCAGACCCTCACGGCCTTCCCACACTTTGTCCTCACTTGCAACAGGGGCTTCGGGTGGGCCTCCCGTTTCTAAAGCACCCACTATGGATGCACAGCAGGACAGACCCAAGTCCCAAGACTGCCTGGGCCTAGTGGCCCCCCTAGCATCTGCTGCAGAGGTCCCCGCTACAGCTCCCGTGTCTGGGAAGAAGCACAGACCACCAGGACCCCTGTTCTCCTCCTCAGATCCCCTTCCTGCCAACTCTTCCCACTCCCGGGACTCAGCCCAGGTCACCTCGATGATTCCTGCCCCCTTCACAGCTGCAAGCAGGGATGCCGGCATGAGAAGAACAAGGTCGGCTCCTGCAGCTGCCGCAGCAGCCCCTCCCCCCTCCACATTGAACCCCACGTCGGGGTCACTACTCAATGCAGTGGATGGAGGCCCCTCACATTTCTTGGCCTCAGCCACAGCTGCAGCACGTGCCCAGAGGTCAGAAGTGAGATATAACCAGAGATCCCAGACCTCCCGGACCAGATCCTGCCTCAAACGAAATGCCAGCTCCAGCTCCCACAGCTCTACGGAAGGCCTCCAGGAAGTAAAGCGGAGGAGGGGGCCAGCCTCATCCCACTGCCAGCTGGCCCTCAGTTCCTCAAACACAGTGAGTGAGGACGGACCTCAGGCTGTCTCTTCGGGTCACCGCTGTGAAAACAAGGCAGGTACAGCACCAGGGCAGACACTTGCCCCCAGGGGTGGCTCCCCCAGATCCCAGGCCTCTAGGCCCCACATCAACACTGCACTGCACGTTGAGGACAAGGCCATCTCGGACTGCAGACCCTCACGGCCTTCCCACACTTTGTCCTCACTTGCAACAGGGGCTTCGGGTGGGCCTCCCGTTTCTAAAGCACCCACTATGGATGCACAGCAGGACAGACCCAAGTCCCAAGACTCCCTGGGCCTACTGGCCCCCCTAGCATCTGCTGCAGAGGTCCCCTCTACAGCTCCCGTGTCTGGGAAGAAGCACAGACCACCAGGACCCCTGTTCTCCTCCTCAGATCCCCTTCCTGCCACCTCTTACCACTCCCGGGACACAGCACAGGTCACCTCGCTGATTCCTGCCACCTTCACAGCTGCAAGCAGGGATGCCGGCATGAGAAGAACAAGGTCGGCTCCTGCAGCTGCCACAGCAGCCCCTCCCCCCTCCACATTGAACAACACGTCGGGGTCACTACTCAATGCAGTGGATGGAGGCCCCTCACATTTCTTGGCCTCAGCCACAGCTGCAGCACGTGCCCAGAGGTCAGAAGTGAGATATAACCAGAGATCCCAGACCTCCCGGACCAGATCCTGCCTCAAACGAAATGCCAGCTCCAGCTCCAGCTCCCACAGCTCTACGGAAGGCCTCCAGGAACTAAAGCGGAGGAGGGGGCCAGCCTCATCCCACTGCCAGCTGGCCCACAGTTCCTCAAACACAGTGAGTGAGGACGGACCTCAGGCTGTCTCTTCGGGTCACCGCTGTGAAAACAAGGCAGGTACAGCACCAGGGCAGACACTCGCCCCCAGGGGAGGCTCCCCCAGATCCCAGGCCTCTAGGCCCCACATCAACAGTGCACTGTACGTTGAGGACAAGGCCATCTCGGACTGCAGACCCTCACGGCCTTCCCACACTTTGTCCTCACTTGCAACAGGGGCTTCGGGTGGGCCTCCCGTTTCTAAAGCACCCACTATGGACGCACAGCAGGACAGACCCAAGTCCCAAGACTGCCTGGGCCTAGTGGCCCCCCTAGCATCTGCTGCAGAGGTCCCCTCTACAGCTCCCGTGTCTGGGAAGAAGCACAGACCACCAGGACCCCTGTTCTCCTCCTCAGATCCCCTTCCTGCCAACTCTTCCCACTCCCGGGACTCAGCCCAGGTCACCTCGCTGATTCCTGCCACCTTCACAGCTGCAAGCAGGGATGCCGGCATGAGAAGAACAAGGCCTGGCACCTCGGCTCCTGCAGCTGCCGCAGCAGCCCTTCCCCCCTCCACATTGAACCCCACGTCGGGGTCGCTACTCAATGCAGTGGATGGAGGCCCCTCACATTTCTTGGCCTCAGCCACAGCTGCAGCACGTGCCCAGAGGTCAGAAGTGAGATATAACCAGAGATCCCAGACCTCCCGGACCAGATCCTGCCTCAAACGAAATGCCAGCTCCAGCTCCCACAGCTCTACGGAAGGCCTCCAGGAACTAAAGCGGAGGAGGGGGCCAGCCTCATCCCACTGCCAGCTGGCCCACAGTTCCTCAAACACAGTGAGTGAGGACGGACCTCAGGCTGTCTCTTCGGGTCACCGCTGTGAAAACAAGGCAGGTACAGCACCAGGGCAGACACTCGCCCCCAGGGGTGGCTCCCCCAGATCCCAGGCCTCTAGGCCCCGCATCAACAGTGCACTGCACGTTGAGGACAAGGCCATCTCGGACTGCAGACCCTCACGGCCTTCCCACACTTTGTCCTCACTTGCAACAGGGGCTTCGGGTGGGCCTCCCGTTTCTAAAGCACCCACTATGGATGCACAGCAGGACAGACCCAAGTCCCAAGACTGCCTGGGCCTACTGGCCCCCCTAGCATCTGCTGCAGAGGTCTCCTCTACAGCTCCCGTGTCTGGGAAGAAGCACAGACCACCAGGACCCCTGTTCTCCTCCTCAGATCCCCTTCCTGCCACCTCTTCCCACTCCGGGGACTCAGCCCAGGACACCTCGCTGATTCCTGCCCCCTTCACACCTGCAAGCAGGGATGCCGGCATCAGAAGAATGTTTCGTGTTCGAAATTGTTTGAGGGGTTTGGGTTTATTTTTGTTGGTTTTTTCTTTTTTTTTTTTGCTTACGTGGGCATCCTTCAGCTTTTAATAATCTGAAAAATTCTATTTACCCATTGTCAATGTGTATAAATTAATCTCAGTCAATTTTATACAATAAAAGGTGAACTTTTATCCATCAAACAATAATTTAACAAAAAATGTACCGGAAGAAGAATGTTCATTACAAATATAGGAAACATAAATATTACCAAATATTGGCAAGCACTAAAATGTTCAGAAATATAAGTCTATTACAGTTATAGCTCTCTCAAGCAAAAAAACAGCAGAGAAAAACTTAGTTTTCCTGAGGGGCTATTTATTTACTTAGGGATTTGTTAAAAGGTCAAATGGGGTCACACAGAATACTAAGAAGAGCTGTTCACCCAGGCCTCACTAAGAACTCTTCTTCATGCAGTAGCTATATAGTAATATGACAACTGCTCCTACGACCCAAAGAGGAACTACAGCAACTACTCTTTAGCATCTGTTGCTCCCAACTCTGCTTTGCAATTATATGACTCAAGCATTCTGGCTCCGTTAACTATTACTGCTGTTACTCCCAAGTAAATTCCCTCTAAAAAATAAAAATTTTTAAAGCTGTAATTTAAGCTCTCTGCTGCCTCATGACTTCAATTCCATCAGAGTTACGCATTGTTTCCTCTGTACATCTTTGCTCTGCTTCCATTGCTAATTCCCTAGTAAAGTGTTGTATATTCAAAGTTCCAAAGAAACAGAATATCCAAGACATCACCAATCATCCAAAACACAGTGTAGGAGGCCACAGTTAAGAGAAGCAACACCATTAGCTCTTTTTATAGGCTCGAGAACAACAGGATGCTTTGGTCCTGTATCAGCAGGACGCTTTTTGGGTAGATCCTACTGCCACCCTACTATCGGGTAGATCCTACTGTCACCCTAGCTATGGGCACATGTCAGAGTCCCATGTAATAAAGGAGACAAAAGGAAACCACCACGAGTATAAACTAAGAAAAGTACTCCAAGGTTTCTAAGAATGGAGCTGTATAACTCACTTTGCCCCATTTGTTACTTCTCCACGGTACTTACCACCACCTATTACATATATTTTGTTTATAGTCAGTCTTCCCCCATTAGAATGAAAGTTCCGTGAGGATAGGACTATACAGTCAGCCCTCAGTATCCATGGGGGACTGGTTTCAGGATCTCCTGAGGGTAACAAAGGATACTCAAGTCCCTGATATAAAATGACATAGTATTTGCACATCACCTTTGCACATCCTCCCATATACTTCATATCAACTCTAGATCACTCATAATATCCGATGTAAATGTCATGCAAATAGTTATTGTACTATATTGTGTAAGGAATAAGGACAAGAAAAAAGTCTGTACATGTTCAGTACAGACGCAATTTTTTTTTCCAATATTTCCAATCCTTGGTTGCCTTAACGGATGTAGAACCCAGGAATAAGTTCTGGTGTCCTATTGCATAGTAGGATGAGTATAGTTAACAATAACATATTATATATTTGAAAATAGCCAGAAGAGTAGATTTTGAATTTTCTCCCTACAGAAAAATCATTATGCAAATTACCCTGATTTGATCATTACACATTGAGTACATGTATTAAAACATCACATTCTACCCCATATATATGTACAGTTATTATGTGTCCATAAAAATTTAATGTCAATGTGTGAAATAAAATGAAAAAATAAAAATTTTTAAAGCTGTAATTATCTCCATCTGGTAGGAATATATACAATCTGAAATAAAAAATATATTTGTAATTGTTAGGACAAAATAGATTATACGTTAAGTCTGCAAATTATAAATTATAAAATTCTCACAGAACCTGAAAAATTATTGATACTGTTAAATATTTAAAAAGCTGTCCTTGGAGAGAAAGAAACCTATCAGATTTACATCAACAAGTGTAATATGTCAGCCTATTACCATCTGCTACAGACTGCATGTTTGTGTTCCCTCAAAATTCATATGATAGGCCGGGCGCGGTGGCTCATGCCTGTAATCCCAGCACTTTGGGAGGCCGAGGCGGGTGGATCATGAGGTCAGGAGATCGAGATCATCCTGGCTAACATGGTAAAACCCCGTCTCTACTGAAAATACAAAAAATTAGCCGGGCGCAGTGGCGGGCGCCTTAGTCCCAGCTACTGAGGAGGCTGACGCAGGAGAACGGCGTGAACCCAGGAGGCGGAGCTTGTAGAGAGCCGAGATTGTGCCACTGCACTCCAGCCTGGGTGACAGACAGAGCGAGACTCTGTCTCAAAAAAAAAAAAAAAAAAAAATTCATATGATAAAGCCCTAACCCCCAAGGTGAGGATACTGGGAGGCGTGGCCTTTAGGAGAGAATTAGGTTTAGATGAGGTCATGAGAATAGAGCCCCTATGGTGGCATTACTTCCTTTATAAGAAGAGACACTAGAGCTGCTTTTCTCCCTACCATGTGAGGATACCGAGAGAAGATGGCCATTTCCAATCTAGGAAGCAGGCCCTCTTTAAGAAACACAATTTGCCAACACTTTGATCTTGCACTTCCAGTCTCCAGAACTGTGAGAAATATCTGTTTTTTTGTTTGTTTGTTTTTGTTTTTTTTGAGACAGAGTCTCATTCTGTCATCCAGGCTGGAGTACAGTGGTGCGATCATGGCTCACTGCAACCTCCGCCTCCCAGGTTCAAGCAATTCTCCCACCTCAGCCTCCCAAGTAGCTCAGACTACAGGCGTGCACCACCACGCCCAGCTAATTTTCGTAGAGACAAGGTTTTGCCATGCTGCCCAGGCTAGTCTCAAACTCCTGAGCTCAAGTTATCCACCTGCCTCGGCCTCCCAAAGTGTTAGGAATACAGGCATAAGCCACCACGCCTGGTCAAAATATCTACTGTTTAAGCTACCTAATTTATGGTATTCTGTTTTAGCAGCTGAAGCAGACTAAGATACCATCCTATAAGCTACAGACCAGCACTATCCAATAGAACTTTATATGACGAGGAAATGTTTTATATCTGTGCTATCCCTTATGTTAGCCACTAGCCACATGTATCCATCAAGTATTTGAAATATGGCTAGTGCAACTAAAGAACTTAATTTTTAATTTTCTTTTTTTTTTTGAGATGGAGTCTCGCTCTGTCCCCCAGGCTGGAGTGCAGTGGCGCCATCTCGGCTCACTGCAAACTCTGCCTCCCAGGTTCACGCCATTCTCCTGCCTCAGCCTCCTGAGTAGCTGGGACTGCAGGCGCCCGCCACCACGCCCGGCTAATTTTTTGTATTTTTAATAGAGATGGGGGTTCACCGTCTTAGTAAGGATGGTCTCGATCTCCTGACCTAATGATCTGCCCGCCTCGGCCTCCCAAAGTGCTGGGATTACTGGCGTGACCCACCACGCCCGGCCAATTTTTATTTTATCTTATTTAAATAACCACATGTGGCTAGTGGCTAATGTATTGAACACTACAGCTGTAGACAATACGAAATAAATATAAAGCAGTCTCAACTTTGGAAAAACAGAAGACTCTTACTGCCTCATAATATAGATGAAAAATGAAATACTAAGATAAGTAAAACGTTCTTTAAAGAACAAAAACAAAAGAAAACCTAATGAAAGCTATAAAAGTCCATTGGATAATAATGCTACCAGTACTAAGGAAGTACAGCCCCTAAGAGTGACTTGCAGTCACAAATATAAAAATGACTATTCAAGTGAACTCCTAAGGTGAAAATTTCTTATTCACCATGCTCCAAAATGGTCTGTAATATTCTTCAGAGATGGCATGGTGGGGGAGGCAAGTGGCATCTCTGCCCAGAGAGAATACACAAGCAGAAAGTTCAACACCGCTTACCTGGTGAAACCCTACAAGCGTTTCCACTCCATACGCGCTCTGAATAATGGGATTGTGATGTCTTACACCAATTCTCAAACTGGGCGGCCAGCTGCAGCTGAATCAACTCCAGGTGCCCGTAGTTGCGATACCAAGAGTAGTAGCTGTTCACACGGATCACATCCACATACAGAGCCTAGGACCAGAGCAGCAGAGCCCGTTCAGCAACCACAAGACCGCATGACTCAGTACTCACATGCTGTGGGGGCTCCTCTGACAGAGAAGGTAAGAAGGGGATGTAATCCCAGCACTCTGGGAGGCTGAGGCAGGAGGGTGGCTTGTGGCCAGGAGTTCGAGACCAGCCTGGGCAACACAGCAAGACCCCAGCTCTACAAAAAATAGTATCAAGAAAATCAGCACGGCACAGTGGCTCATGCCTGTAATCCCAGCACATTGGGAGGCCAAGGTGGGAGGATCACTTGAGCCCAGGAGTTTGAGACCAGCCTGGGCAACATCGTAGGACTCCATTTCTACAAAACAAAACAAAAAGCCTACAACGGGAAGAGCTGCCTCTCGGGGCTGAGAACATCCAACTGCACCAATTTAGATCCTGAAATTACCCTGCCCCACAAGCAAAAAACATGGTCACAAAGTGGCCCAAAGGAGGCAGGCCTGTGATTGCACACTGACGCTCACGACGTGTGCAGCTGGGAAGGGCTGTGAGAGGCAGAGCAGCTGCCAACACGCAGTCCTCAGCCAAAACCCAGGGCCCCCGCCACTGGAACTGACTCCTCTCCAGGCAGCACTCCCAGCACTGGGCATCCCCTCACCTTGCCCTGGAGAAGCCCTCCCACCCAAGGGGCCAATGCAGTCATTCTCGCAGATAATCTTTTTCCGCTTTGTTTGGAAGACAGAGTCTCGCTCTGTTGCCCAGGCTAGAATGGAGTGGCACAATAATGCAACCTCTGCCTCCCACGATCAAGCGCAGGCGTGGTGGCATGTGCCTGTTATCCCAGCTACTTGGGAGGCTGAGGCAGGAGAATTGCTTGAACCTGGGAGGCGGAGGTTGCACTGAGCTGAGACTGTGCCACTGCACTCCAGCCTGGGCAACAGAGCAAGACTCTATCTTAAAAAAATAATAAAAAATAAAAAAGAATGCTAGTATCAGCCAGGCACGGTGGCTCATGCCTGTAATCCCAGCACTTTAGGAGGCTAAGGCAGGAGGATCACTTGAGCTCAAGAGTTTGAGACTGGCCTGGGCAACATAGTGAGATCCCATCTCTACAAAAACATTTAAAATTAGCCGGGCACAGTGGTGTACACCCGGAGTCCCAGCTACTTGGAAGGCTGAGGCAAGAGGGTTGCTTAGGCCCAGGAATTCAAGGCTGCAGTGAGCTGTGATCACACCACTGCACTCCAGCCAGAGCAACAGAGTAAGACCTTGCCTTCACACACACACACAAAAAAACAAAAAACTCAGGTTCCAACCCTGGAGTTACTAAATCAGGATCTCAGAACGCAGAGATCTGGCATTTCAATAAAACTTCCCCTGGAGATTCTGATCAGCCAGGTTTGGGCCAGATGAACTCTAAGCTCACTTAAACCTTTGACATTTTATGAGTCTATTAAATCGAGTACAAAAAATGCTGAGTCCAAACCGGGCAAACAAATCCCATCTCCCTATGCCCAGCCTCCTTGGATTCAGAAAGCCACACTGCCTGGAGAGTAAGCAGAGAGAGAATTGTCATTAACCCAAAGACCATCTTTGAAAACAGACTGGCTGCGGCTGAGTGCGGTGGCACACGCCTGTAACCCCAGCCCTTTGGAAGGCCGAGGCAGGAGGATCACTTGAGCCCAGGAGTTCGAGACCAGCCTGGGCAACATGGCAAGACCCTGTCTCTATCTTTCTAAGTAAAACAAAATAAAAAGCTCAGACTGGCAGCACATGGTTCTTTCCAGCTGTTCCCATGAGCAGGCTTCAGGACAAGCCCAGGCAAAGGCAGGGAGAAATGGGGTGGGGACCCCCAGGCTCACCCCCTTGTCTGCTGCGTAGGTGGAGTTGGTCACAAAGGTCACAGGCTGGGAGGGGTCCAAGGCTTTGGTGTGAGCAATCACCATCCTGTCCACAAAAGAGAGAAGACACAGGTTCCGTCAGTCCGGGAAAGGCTCAGACACCCTCCCATCCTCTCTGTCCCATCTTCCCCTGCCAGAACACAACTGGGGGCCAGGCACGATGGCTCACGCCTGTAATCCCAGCACTTCAGGAGGCTGAGACAGGCAGATCACTGAGGTCAGGGGTTCAAGAACCGCCTGGCCAACATGGCAAAACCCCATTTCTACTAAATATACAAAAATTAGCCAGGCATAGTGGCACGCATCTGTAACTCCAGCTACTCGGGAGGCTGAGGCACAAGAATTGCTTGAACCCGGGAGGTGGAGGTTGCAGTGAGCCGAAATCACGCTACTGCACTCCAGCCTGGGCCACAGAGCAAGACCCTGCCCCAAAACAAACAAACAAACAAACAAACAAAAAAAAAAAAAGAAAGAAAAAAAAGGAAAAAAAAAAAAAAAAAACAAAGCACAGAGCCGCTGCTTTCTTCCCTAACTTGAGATGTATTTTACATAAGGGCACGTTCCTCTAGTCCTAGACCGAGCTCTCTAACAACACTCTTTCTCCCCCACCCCTGAATCCAACTCCCCCAGAGGCGTAGCCACCCTGCCGGGTACACAGAGCTGAGGTCACTGGACTGAACACTGCCAGAAATGAGGTTCACTTCCTGAAATAGCTCTTGAACACAGGAGTGAATGGGCTGTGGATTCAGGTGGAATATTTATTAATGCATCAAGCAAACAGGTAGTGCGAGGTGGGAGGTAGGCATGAGGCTGGGTGCTAGGTGCTCAGTAATGACTCAAATCTAAGTCCACAGGTCCTGGGCAGTGGGAGTGGAGATGCATGCACAGAAAAACGGTGCAAGTGCCAGGCGAGGTGGCTCACGCCTAGAACCCCAGCACTTTGGGAGGCTTACTTGAGACCAGGCGCTTGAGACCAGCCTGGACAACATAGCAAGACCTTGTTTCTACAACAAATTTAAAAATTAGGGCCGGGCATGGTGGCTCAAGCCTGTGAGCACTTTGGGAGGCCAAGGCAGGTGGATCACGAGCTCAAGAGTTCGAGACCAGCCTGGCCAACATGGTGAAACCCCATCTCAACAAAAAATAAAGAAGAAAACTAGCTGGGCATGGTGGCGTGAGCCTGTAATCCCAGCTACTCGGGAGGGTGAGGCAGGAGAACTGTTTGTACCCAGGAGGTAGAGGATGCAGTGAGCCAAGATCGCAACACTGCTCTCCAGCCTGGGAGACAGAGCAAGACTCTGACTCGTGGGGAAAAAAAAAATATTAAAATTTAGCCTGGCAAGGCAGCGCACGTCTGTGGTCCCAGCTATTTGGGAGGCTGAGTGGGGAGGATCGCTTAAGCCCAGGAGGTCGAGATGGCAACGAGCTATGATTGCACCACTGCACTCCAGCCTGGGCAACAGAGTGAGACCCTGACTCTGAAAAACAAACAATGAAAGAAATGTTGCGAATGGAAATGACAAGTGGTGGCAGGAATTGGGCACTCTATGAGACAACAGACACATCCCCGATTGGAGAGTCAGGGACAGGCTCTTAGAAGAAATGGCCTTTATGCTGAGTCAAGTTAACCAGGAGGGATGAAGGGAAGAGGCTCCCAACAGAGGGACCAGTCCGCGCTCAGAGCTCCCAGCATCTGCCCAAGGCCTCCACAGAACAGACTGTTGTGTTTTTGTTTTGTTTTGTTTTGTTGAGATACAGAGTCTCATTCTGTAGCCCAGGCTGGAATGCAGTGGCATTATCTCAGCTCATTGCAATCTCTGCCTCCTGGTTCACCTGAGGCGATTCTCCTGCCTCAGCCTACCTGGTAGCTGGGATTACAGACGTCCACCACCATGCCCAGCTAATTTTTGTATTTTTAGTAGAGACAGGATTCACTACCTGTTGACCAGGCTGGTCTCGAACTCCTGACCTCGGGTGATCCACCCACCTCAGCCTCCCAAACTGCTGGGATTACAGGCGTGACCCACCGCATCCGGCCTAGACCGTTGTTGAAGCTGGTTTTCTTCTTCTTTCCTCAGTTCTTTTCTTTTACATCTTCCCCCCATCATTGCTCTGCCCATCCGAAGGCTGTGGCTGGCACAGGACAGAATAGAACCTCCTAGCCTCAAGTTCCAAACCCACACTCTCCAATAGCCAGGCTCTCAGATGGGAAGCTTCAAAGCCTTGTGACAGCCTGGCTGAACCTCTCCAGCCTGGGCCCTCCCTCCATTTCCTGCCCCGGAAACAGGCATCTCCTCTGGCCACCTCCCAAAGCCTGTCTGGAAGCCTCAGGCACCCGCTCCTGGAAGCCTGTACGATTCACAACAAACGGCCTGTCCACCCAGTCGTGCTGAGCACACCCCTATTCCCCCGAGCTCTGAATTGTCCTTTGCCCAGGCTAGGACAACATCTCAGAGCCTTCTGCCTGCTGCAGACTCGGCTCAGCCCAAATCACTCCATGAAATTGGGGTGTGGCATCTGCCTCAAGGAGCATTTCTACAACCTCTGCTGCCTCTACCGCAAATGAAACTGGCTCTCACCCACTGGCTCTCGGTGACGGGCACAGTGCGGAGCCCCACAGGGAGTGTGTAGAAGTCAAAGGCCCCAGTGACTTCTGTGCAGTCAGCCGCACCTACGACAGCCAAAGCGCCAGGTGTGAGCGCCCCGACAGCCTGAGCCCCATCTGGCCTGCCCTACAGCAGGAAGACCCCTCGTGCATGCACCCCAGAAGTCGCCACTGGGCCTGCAGAGAAGCAGCAATCAGAGGCTCTGCCCTTCACTGGCTGACCCTGGGACCTGCCCTTCAAAATCAGGCCTTCTCCTTGACCAGACGAGGTGGCTCATGCCTGGAATCCCTACACCTTGGGAGGCTAAGGCAGGAGGATCACCTGAGTCCAGGAGTTCAAGACCAGCCTGGGCAACCTAGTAAGACCCCAACTCTATAAAAAGGAGTTTTTTTTTTTTGTGACAGTCTCACTCTGTCACCCAGGATAGAGTGCTGCGGCATGATCTCAATTCACCGCGGCCCCTGCCTCCTGGGTTCAAGCAATTCCCCTGCCTCAGCCTCCCGAGTAGCTGGGATTACAGACGTGCACCATCATGCCCTGCAAATTTTCATATTTTAGTAGAGACGGGGTTTCACCATGTTGGCCAGGCTGGTCTCCAACTCCTGGCCTAAAGTGATCTGCCCGCGTCAGCCTCCCGAAGTGCTGGGATTACAGGTGTGAGCCACCATGCCCGGCCTACAAAAAAAATTTTTTTAATTAGCCAGGCATGGTGGCATGTGCCTGTAGTCCCAGCTACTCAGGAGGCCAAGGTAGGAGGATTGCAGCTCAAAGCTGCAGTGAGCTGTGATCAGGCCATTGCATTACAGCCTGGGTGACAGAGTGAGACCATCACAAAAACAAACAAACAAACAAACAAACAAACAAATAAATAAATAAATAAATAAATAAATAAAAAATCTGGGCCTCCCACCAAGGGTGGGAAACATCAGAAAGCTCAGAGGACCACACCTGCCCGTTCACCTGTCCTGGGCTCCTGCTGAAGCCAGGGCTACCAGATGGGGGCAAAAGACCTCCCTTACGCAAGTCCCAAACCACCATTACCTCCCACGAGTACAGGTAGGCGGGGTGTTCGTGCATCAGGTACGGCCACCAGAGGTTGGCACCCAGCACCTTCAGCTGGCCCTGGGTCCCAGCCTGGTTGTCCACGACTTTGTTTTCTGCATTCAAAAGACACACTTCCAACTTGAACTGGTTACTGCACTTGACGGAGATCTGGTAATTCACCAGCCCTGCAGGAGGCAAGAGAGACCAGGGCTTAGGGAGGGACATGACCTGGGTCACACAAACGGGAAGGCCCCACAATGACCACTCCCAGGCACTCTCATTTGCTTCTGTTGCTTTTTTTTTTTTTTTTTGAGATAGAATCTCGCTCTGTCACCCAGGCTGGAGTGCAGTGGCATGATCTGGACTCACTGAAACCTCTGCCTCCCAGGTTCAAGTGATTCTCCTGCCTCAGCCTCTGGAATAGCTGGGATTACAGGCACCTGCCACCACATCCAGCTAATTTTTGTATTGTTAGTAGAGACGGGGTTTCACCACATTAGCCAGGATGGTCTTGATCTCCTGACCTCGTGATCCGCCTGCCTCGGCCTCCCAAAGTGCTGGGATTACAGGCTTGAGCCACCGTGCCCGGCCCTGAACCAATGCGCCCAGCCCGCTTTTAATTTAATTTTTTAATTTTTTTTTTTTTTTTTTTTGAGATGGAGTCTCACTGTCACCCAGGCTGCAGTGTAGTGCTGCGATCCTGACTCGCTGCAACCTCCACCTCTGGAGTTCAGGTGATTCTCCTGCCTCAGCCTTCCGAGTACCTGGGAATACAGGAATGCACCACCATGCCCGGCGAATTTTTCTATTTTCAGTAGAGACGGAGTTTTGCCATGTTGGCCAGGCTGGTCTCGAACTCCTGAACTCAGGTGATCCACCCGCCTCAGTCTCCCAATAGATTAGATATATTATTAATGAATTGCTTCCTTTAACACCCTATTCATTGAATTTTCCAGTAAACCACAATTACTAATTACTCCTGAAATCAGAAAAGAGGTTAAAAAGATTTTATAACAGTATCCTATGAAATCTACTACTTTCAAGTAATAGTAGTTGAATTACCAAAACCCGTCACTCAAGCCAATGACTACAATTAAGATATGAGTAACATTTCCTAGATAAATAAAGTCAATTAATTATATTTGCATCTGGGAAATAGAGAAAGTACATATAAGCCATGATTTTGAAGTTAAAAGAGAGAGAATATTTGCCAAGGAGGGGTGAGTTATAGTATGTAATTATAACATACAGAAGTTTTTTGTATGCTGGTAACTAATTTTAATTTCCTACATTTTTATGTAGATTTCTGCTATTCTTGTCCTATTTTCCTAATCATCTTTCTATATGAATGACTACATAATTCTGAGAATACCAAAAGAGACAGACACAGAACCAATCGGATTCCTTTCTTCTTGAAGCTTCTGCACAGCAAAAGAAACTATCAACAGAGTGAACAGACAACCTACAGAATGGGAGAAAATTTTTGCAACAATGCATGTGACAAAGATCTAATGTCCAACACTGATAAGGAACTTAAACAAATTTACAAGAAAAAAAAAAATCTCATTAGAAAGTGGGCACAGGACATAAACAGACACTTCAAAAGAAGACACACATGCGGCCAACAAGCATATGAGAAAAAGCTCAATATCACTGATCATTAGAGAAATGCAAATCAAAACCACAATGGCATACCATCTCACACCAGTCAGTATGGTTATTATTAAGAAGTCAACGCCGGGCATGGTGGCTCACGCCTATAATCCCAGCACTTCAGGAGGCCAAGGCAGGCAGATCGCATGAGGTCAGGAGTTCCAGACCAGCCTGGACAACCTGGCGAAACCCCGTCTCTACTAAAAATACAAAAATTAGCCCAGCGTGGTGGCGGGTGCCTGTAATCCCAGCTACTCAGGATGCTGAGGCAGGAGAATCGCCTGAACCCGGGAGGCAGAGGTTGTAGTGAGCCGAGATCATACCACTGCACTCTCCAGCTTAGGTGACAGAGCGAGACTCTGTCTCAAAAAAAAAAAAAAATATTTGAATTTTGTTTAAATCGCTAACACATACTGGGCATTTAATAACAAAAAAAAAGGACATGAGATTGTGATCCTTATGAAGGTTTGAGAGGCATTTCACTAGGGTTCAACATACAGCAGTCTGAAACATACTGTAATAATTTAATCCAATGGCTCATCTACAGCACCTAAAAAGATTACAGCAGATTCTCATTATTCAGTGTAGTTACGGTCTAGAAAGTTCCATGAACAAATAAAAAGTTAGGTTTCAGCAAGCTACTGGTCACACTTTTGTAAGCTTACCAACACCTACTTTTGTTGTATGTGTGCTTATTTAATATATATTGTTGGCCAGGCACAGTGGCTAACGCCTGTAATCCCAGCACTTTGCGAAGCCAAGGCGGGCAGATCATTTGAGGTCTGGAGTTCGAGACCAGCCTGGCCAACGTGGTGAAACCCCGTCTCTACTAAAACTACAAAAAAAAAAAAAAAAAAAAAAAATTAGCCAGGCATGGTGGCGCATGCCTGTAGTCTTAGCTACTTGGGAGGCTAAGGCAGGGGAATCGCTTGAACCCAGGAGGCAGAGGTTGCAGTGAGCCAAGACTGCACCACTGCACTCCAGCCTGAGCAACAGAGTGAGACTCTATCTCAAAAAAAATAATAATAATAATTAATTAAATGAAGAATAAATAAATAATATACATTGTTCATTCATTAACATTGAACTCACAGCCAACGGCACTACAGCACTCACGCCTGAATGGAGTTTATTTAATGCATGTATTTTCTCTGTAAGACACATCACAGACTTCTTGGACTTGTGAATGCTAAGCAGCACTTCAGCACTATGCTTGGGGGTTAATTTAAATGGCAAAACAACCAACAAACAGCACAAAAACAGGAAAAGCATGGCATTAAATAGACCACAAAAAGGATACCTGACTATTGTATGAGAGCTGAAAAAGAAGGCAGAATATCATCCTGTTCAAACTCAAATTCTTTGACACTCTGCGCAAACACATGACTATGAAAGTGCTGTGAGTACTGATTTGGGGGTTACAAAAAATAGTAGGTGAGTTCACAAATACAAAAGCTGAAAACAAGGAGGATCGACTGTATTTTCGTAGACAATCTAATCTCAGAAGATTTCAGTTCAGACAAAAATCATGATAATTACTGTATTACAAAAGGGCACTAGATAGGGGGAAAAGAGTAAAAATCACAATTAAAACAAAGGTTCAAAATTCTGCAGCAACCATATCCAGTTACACTTTAATATGTTTGTGGCAGACTACATTATTGTTCCCAACTCATCACCCCTCCCTATATCTAAAACCTTTCCCCAAGACAATGCAGTTCCTCCTGCTAGAGATCAGGTATATTTATCTATACTATCAATGTTAGCCATGGACAAGGTATGTGCTTTGGCTGACTGAATGTTAGTGGACATGAGAGAAGCAATGGCTTAAAATGTACTTCCAGAACTGGAGTTTCCTTGTGATTCTATCACTGTGACAAAAACACATTCTCAGGTAGTCCACTGATCCAAGGGGGAACAAACACACAGAAAACATACCTAGACTCTATCTGCAGCTTGCAGCCTCACCAAGCCAAGAACAGTCAACTCACAGATATGTTAGCAAAAATAAATGTTTTTCATACCTTAAGTTTTATATAATTATTGACCTACAGTTAACTGATATACAATATACATTAATCTTAAAATATCATTATCCCATTAAAAATACTTACATTAAAAACTGAGACCACTTTCTTTCCTTTTTTTTTTTTTTTTTTTAAATTAAGAGACAGGGTGTCTCAATGTTGCCCAAGCTGGAGTTCAGTGGCTAGTGGCTATTCACAAGAACGATCATCGCACACTACCTCAAACTCCTGGGATCAAGCAATCCTCCTGCCTCAGCTTTCCAAGTCGCTGGGACTATAAGTGTGTACCACAGCATGTCAGCTCTCTCTCTCCTTCTTGACCTAAAGCCTAGCATAAAATTAGCTAAGTAGAATGTTTCCAAAGATGGCTGCATCAGTATCTCCCATCCCACATAATTTCTGTTTGATTTTGCCATTCACCCATAAAATGGTGGGATCTACCTCCCCTCCTTGCAAATTTGAGCTGGCCCTCTGATCCTGTCTAAGATCTGAAGCCAGATATTAAGGTACTTCATTAATTTCCATGTTTGTCCTCTATGCAACCTAGCAATCAAGCAAGAAGTCAAAACATACTGACATAGTTTGGATGGGTCCCCACCCAAATCTCACCTTGCATTGTAATAATTCCCACGTGTCAAGGGTGGGGCCGGGTGCAGATAACTGAATCATGGGGATGGTTCCCCCCATACTGTTCTCGCGGTAGTGACTAAGTCTCATGAGATCTGATGGTTTTATAAATGGGAGCTCCCCTGCACATGCTCTCTCCTGCCTGCCACTATGTGAGACATGCTTTTGCACCTCCTTGCCTTCCACCATGATTGTGAGGCCTCCCCAGCCATGCAGAACTGTGAGTCAATTCAACCTCTTTCCTTTATAAATTACCCAGTCTCAGGTATGTCTTTATTTGCGGTGTGAGAACAGACTAATACAATAAGTTGATACCAGTAGAGTGGGGTGCTGCTGTAAAGATACCCGAAAATGTGGAAGCAACTTTGGAAATGGGTAACAGGGAGAGGCTGGAACAGTTTGGAAGGCTCAGAAGAGGATAGGAAAATGTGGGAAAGTTTGGAACTTCCTAGAGACTTGTTGAATGGCTTTGACCAAAATGTTAATAGTGATATGGACAACAAGGTCCAGGCGGAGGTGGTCTCAGAGGGAGATGAG